>NC_000003.12:90699792-90722458 GCF_000001405.40 Homo sapiens
TCAAATCACAGAGTTTCAAATCACAAAGAAGTTTCTGAGAATTCTTATGTCTAGATTTAGATGAAGAAATCAAGTTTCAAACGAAGGTCACAAAGAGGTACAAAATGCAATTGCAGATTCTACAAAAAGAGTGTTTCAAAACTGCTCTATCAAAATTAATGTTCAACTCTGTGAGATGAATGCAAATATCACAATGTAGTTTCTGACAATGCTTCTGTCTGGTTTTTGTGTGAAAATATTTCCTTTTCTACCGTAGGCCTAAAAGCGCTCTAAATATACACTTGCAATTTCCATGAAAAGAGTGTTTCAAAACTGCTCTATCAAAAGAAAAGTTAAACTCTGTAAGCTGAATGCAGAAATCACAAAGTAGTTTCTGAGAATGATTCTGTCTAGTTTTTCTAAGAAGATATTTCCTTTACTACCATAGGCCCAAAACCCCTCTAAATAGCCACTTATAAATTCTACAAAAAGAGTATTTCAAAACTGATCTATCGACAGGAAGGTTTAACTCTGTGAGTTGAATGCACACATCTCAATGAAGTTTCTGAGTATTCTTCTGTCAAGTTTTATATGAGGAAATCCCGTTTCAAACGAAGGCCTCAAAAAAGTCTAAATATTCAATTGCACAGTCTACAAAAAGAGTGTTTCAAAACTGCCCTATCAAAAGAAAGCTTACACTTTGCGATTTGAACGCACAAACCACAAAGTAGTTTCTGAGAATCATTCTGTCTAGTTTTTCTATGAAGATATTGCCTTTTCTACCATAGGCCTCAAACATCGCTAAATATTCACTTGGAAATTCTACAAAAAGTGAGTATCAAAACTGCTCTATCAAAAGGAAGTTTCAACTCTGAGTTGAAAGCATATATCACAAAGTAGTTTCTGAGAATTCTTCTGTCACGTTTTATATGAAGAAATCCCATTTCCAACAATGGCATTACAAAAGTACAGATATTCACTTGCAGTTTCTACAAAATGAGAGTTTCAAAACTGCTCTACCAACAACAAGGTTAAACACTGTGATTTGAACGCACACATCACCAAGAAGTTTCTGAGAATCATTCTGTCAGTTTTTCTCTGAAGATGTTTCCTTTTCTACCGTAGGCCACAAACAGCGCTAAATATCCCCTTGGAACTTCTACAAAAGAGAGTTTCAAATGTGTTCTAACGAAAGGAAGGTTCAACTCTGTGAGTTGGAAGCACACATCACAAAGAAGTTTCTGAGAATTCTTCGGTCTAGTTGTAAATGAAGAAATCACGTTTCAAACGAATGCCTCAAAGAGGTCAAAATATCCACTTTCAGATTCTGCAAAAAGAGTGTTTCAAGACTGCTCTATCAAGAGGATTGTTCAACTCTGTGAATTGAATGCAAATGTCACAAATTAGTTTCTGACAATGCTTCCGTCTAGTTTTTATGTGAAGATATTTCCTTTTCTTCCGTAGGACTCAAAGCGCTCTAAATATACACTTGCAAATTCCACAATTAGAGTGTTTCAAAACTACTCCATCAAAAGAAAGGTTAAACTTTGAAAGCTGAAAGCACACATCACAAAGTAGTTTCTGAGAAGGTTTCTGTGTAGTTTTTCTATGAAGATATTTCCTTTTGTACCATAGGCCTCAAACCGCCCTTAATATCCACTTGGAAATACTACAAAAAGAGTATTTCAAAACTGCTCCATAGAAAGGAAGGTTCCACACTGTGAGTTAAATGCACACATCACAAAGAAGTTTCTGAGAATTCTTCTGTCAAGTTTGATATGAAGAAATCCTCTTTCCAACGAAGGGTCTAAAAAGTCCAAATATTCACTTGCAGATTCTACAAAAAGAGTGTTTCAATATTCCTCTATGAAAAGCAAAGTTAAATTCTGTGAGTTGAATACACACATCACAAAGTAGTTTCTGAGAATCATTCTGACTGGTTTTTCTATGAAGATATTGCCTTTTCTACCATAAGCCTCAAACGGCGCTAAATATCCACTAGGAAATTCTACAAAAAGAGAGTTTCAAAACTGCTATATCGAAAGGAAGGTTCAACTCTGAGAGTTGAAAGCACACATCACAAAGAATTTTCTGAGAATTCTACTGTCTAGTTTTATATGAAGAAATCACTTTTCAAAGGAAGGCCACAAAGAGGTTCAAATATCCACCTGCAGATTCTACAAAAAGAGTGTTTCAAAACTGCTCTATCGAGAGGAATGTTCAATTCTGTGTTTTGAATGCAAATATCAAAAAGTAGTTTATGACAACGCTTCTGTCTAGTTTTTATGTGAAGATATTTCCGTTTCTACCGTAGGACTCAAAGCCCTCTAAATATACACTTCCAAATTCCACAAAAAGAGGGTTTCAAAACTGCTGTATCAAAAGAAAGGTTAAACTCTATAAGCTGAATGCACACATCACAAAGTAGTTTCTGAGAATGATTCTGTCTAGTTTTTCTGTAAATATATTTCCTTTTCTACCATAGGCCTCAAACCGCTCTAAATATCCACTTGGAAATTCTGCAAAAAGAGAATTTCAAAACTGCTCTATTGAAAGGAAGGTTCAACTCTGTGACTTGAATGCACACATCACAAAGAAGTTTCTGAGAATTCTTCTGTCAAGTTTTGTATGAATAAATCCCTTTTCCAACGAAGGCCTGAAATAAGTCCAAATATTCACTTGCAGATTCTACAAAAACAGTGTTTCAATACTGCTCTGTGAAAAGAAAGGTTAAACTCTGTGAGATGAACGCACACACCACAAAGTAGTTTCTGAGAATCATTCTGTCTAGTGTTTCTATGAAATTATTGCCTTTTCTACCATAGGCCTCAAACGGCGATAAATATCCACTTGGAAATTATACAAAATGAGAGTTTCAAAACTGCTCTATCGAAAGGAAGGATGAACTCTATGAGTTGAAAGCACACATCACAAAGGAGTTTCTGAGAATTCTTCAGTCTAGTTTTATATGAAGAAATAATGTTTCAATCAAAGGCCACAAAGAGGTCCAAATATCCACTTGCAGTTCCTACAAATGAGTGTTTCAAAGCTACTCTGTCAAGAGGAATATTTAACTCTGTGAGTTGGTTGCAAATATCACAAAGTAGTTTCTAACAATGCTTCTCTCTAGTTTTTATTTGAAGATATTTCATTTTCTACAGTTGGCTTCAAAGCACTCTAAATACACACTTACAAATACCACAAAAAGAGTGTTTCAAAACTGCTCTATGAAAAGTAAGATTAAACTCTGTTAGCTGAATTCACACATCACAGAGAAGTTTCTCAGAATGATTCTGTCAAGTTTTTCTACGAAGATGTTTCCTTTTCTACCACAGGCCTCAAACCACTCTAAATATCCACTTGGAAATACTTCAAAAAGATTATTTCAAAACTGCTCTATCGAAATGAAGGTTGAAGTCTGTGAGTTGAAAGCACACATCACAAAAAAGTTTCTGAGAATTCTTCTGTGTAGTTTTAGACGAAGAAATCACGTTTCTAAAGAAGGCCACAAAGAGGTCCAAATATACATTCGCAGATCCTACAAAAAGAGTGTTTCAAAACTGCTCTATCAAGAGGAAAGTTTAACTCTGTGTGTTGAATGCAAATATCACAAAGTAGTTTGTGACAATGCTTCTGCCTAGTTTTTATGTGAAGATATTTCCTTTTCTACCGTATGCCACTAAGCGCTCTAAATATACACTTGCAAATTCCACAAAAAGAGTGTTTCAAAACGCCTCTATCAGAAAAAAGGTGAAACTCTTTTACGCGAATGCACACATCGCAATGTAGTTTTGGAGAATGATTCTGTCTAGTTTTTCTATGAAGATATTTCCTTTTCTACCACAGACCTCAAACCGCTCAAAATATCCATTTGGAAATTCTACAAAAAGAGTATTTCAAAACTGCTCTATCGCAAGAAATGTTCAACACTGTGAGTTGAATGCACACATCCCAAAGAAGTTTCTGAGACTTCTTCTGTCACGTTTTAAATGAAGAAAACCCGTTTCCAACGGAGGCCCCAAAAAAGTCTATATATTCAATTTACAGATTCTACAAAAATAGTGTTTAAAAACTGCTCTATCAAAAGAAAAGTTAAACTCTGTGAGTTGAAAGCACACATGACAAAGTAGTTTCTGAGAATAATTATGTCTAGTTTTTCTATGAATATATTGCCTTTACTACCATAGGCCTCAGATGGTGTTAAATATCCACTTGGAAATACTACAAAAAGAGAGTTTCAAAACTGCTCTATGGAAAGGAAGGTTCAACTCTGTGAGTTGAAAGCACACATCACAAAGAAGTTTCTGATAATTCTTATCTCACGTTTTATATGAAGAAATCCCGTTTCCAGCGAAGGCCCCCAAAAAGTACAAATATTCACTTGCAGATTCTACAAAAACAGTGTTTCAAAACTGCTCTATCAAAAGAAAGATTAAACTCTCTAAGCTGAATGCAAACATCAAAAGTAGTTTCTGTGAATGATTCTGTCTAATTTTTCCATGAAGATATTTCCTTTTCTACCACAGGCCTCAAACTGCTCTAAATATCCGCTTGGAAATTCTACAAAAAGAGTTTTTCAAAACTGCTCTATCGAAAGGAAGTTTCAATTCTGTGAGTTGAATGCACACATCACAAAGGAGTTTCTGAGAATTCTTCTGTCACCTTTTATATGAGGAAATCCCGTTTCCAACGAAGGCCCTCAAAAACTCCAAATATTCACTTGCAGATTCTAAAAAACAGTGTTTCGAAACTGCTCTATCAACAGAAAGATTAAACTCTGTGTGGTGAAAGCACACAGCAAAATGTACTTCTGAAAATCATTCTGTCTAATTTTTCCATGAAGATATTGCCTTTTCTACCATGGGCCTGAAACGGCCGTAATTATCCATTTGGAAATTCTACAAAAAGAGAGTTTAAAAACTGCTCTATCGAAAGGAAAGTTCAACTGTGTGAGTTGAAAGCACACATCACAAAGAAGTTTCTTAGAATTTTTCTGTCTAGTTTTCTTTCACGAAATCACTTTTCAAACGAAGGCCACAAAGAGGTCCAAATATCCTCCTGCAGATACTACAAAAAAAGTGTTTCAAAACTGCTCTATCAAGAGGAATGTTCAACTCTGTGAGTTGAATGCAGATATCACAAAGAAGCTTCTGACAATGCTTCTGTCAATTTTTTATGTGAAGATATTTCCTTTTCTACCATAGGCCTCAAAGCGCTCTAAATATACACTTGCAAATTCCACAAAAAGAGAGTTTCAAAACTGCTCTATCAAAAGAAATGTTAAAGTCTGTAAGCTGAATGCACACATCACAAAATAGTTTCTAACAGTGATTATGTCTAGTTTTTCAGTGAAGACATTTCCTTTTCTACCACAGGCCTCAAACCGCTCTAAATATCCACTTGGAAATTCTACAAAAAGAGTATTTCAAAACTGCTCTATCGAAAGGAAGATTCAACACTGTGAGTTGAATGCACACATCACAAAGGAGTTTCTGAGAATTCTTCTGCCACGTTTTATCAGAAGAAACCCCTTTTCCAACGAAGGCCTCAAATAAGTCCAAATATTAACTTGCAGTTTCTACAAAAAGAGTGTTTCAAAACTGCTCTGACAAAAGAAAGGTTAAACTCTGTGAGTTGAACGCACAAATCAGAAAGTGGTTTCTGAGAATCATTCTGTCTAGTTTTTCTATGAAGATATTGCCCTTTATACCTCAGGCTTGAAAGGCGTTAAATATCCACTTGGAAAATCTACAAAAAGAGAGTTTCAAACCTGCTGCATTGAAAAGACGTTTCGTCTCTGTGAGTAGAATGCACACATCACAAAGAAGTTTCTGAGAATTCTTCTATCAAGTTTTATATGAAGAAATACCATTTCCAACGAAGGCCGTGAAAAAGTCCAAATATTCACTAACAGATTCTACAAAAAGAGTGTTTCAAAACTCCTCTGTCAAAACAAAGGTTAAAATCTTTAGATGTACGCACACATCACAAAGTAGTTTCTGAGAATGACTCTGTTTACTTTTTCTATGAAGATATTTTCTTTTCTAGCATAAGCCTCAAACGGCTCTAAATATTCACTTGGAAATACTACATAAGGAGCATTTCAAAACTGCTCTATCAAAAGAAAGGTTAAACTCTGTAAGTTGAATGCACACATCACAAAGTAGTTTCTGATAATCATTCTATCTTGTTTTTCTCTGAAGACATTTCCTTTTCTACCATAGGCCTCAAACAGCACAAAAATATCCACTTTAAATGCTACAAAAAGTGTATTTCAAAACTGCTGTATCGAAAGGAAGGTTCAACACTGTGAGTTGAATACACACCTCTCCAATAAGTTTCTGTCAATTCTTCTGTCAAGTTTTATATGAAGAAATCCCGTTTCCAAAGAAGGCCTCAAAAAAGTCCAAATTTCCACTTGCAGATTCTACAAAAAGAGTATTTCACAAATGCTCTATCAAAAGAAAGGTTAAACTTTGTAAGCTGAATGCACCAATCACAAAGTAGTTTCTGATAATGATTCTATCTGGTTTTTCTATGATGATATTTCCTTTTCTATCATAGGCCTCAAACCTCACTAAATATCCACTTGGAAAGCCTACAAATAGAGTATTTCAAAACTACTCTATCGAAAGGAAGGTTCAACTCTGTGAGTTGAACGCACACCTCCCAAATAAGTTTCTGAGAATTCTTCTGTCCAGTTTTACATGAAGAAATCCTTTTTCCAAAGAAGGCCTCAAAAAGACCAAATTTTCACTTGCAGAACCTACAAAAAGAGTGTTTCTAAACTCCTCTATCAAAAGAAAGGTTAAACTCCCTGAGTTGAACGCACACATCAAAAAGTAGTTTCTGAGAATCATTCTGTCTAGATTTTCTATGAAGATATTGCCTTTTCTACCATAGGCCTCAAACGCCGGTAAATATCCACTTGGAAATTCTACAAAAAGAGAGTTTCAAAACTGCTCTATTGAAAGGGAGGTTCAACTCTGTGAGTTGAAAGCACACATCACAAAGAAGCTTCTGAGAATTCTTCTGTCTAGTTTTATATGTAGAAATCATGTTTCAAACGAACGCCACAGATGGGTCAAAATATCCAATTGCAGAGTCTAAAAAGCAGTGTTTCAAAACTGCTCTATCAAGAGGAATGTTCAACTCTGTGAGTTAAATGCAAATATCACAAAGTTGTTTCTGACAATGCTTCTGTTTATTTTTTATGTGAAGATATTTCCTTCTCTACCTTAAGCCTCAAAGCGCTCTTAATATACACTTGCAAATTCCACAAAAAGAGTGTTTCAAAACTGCTCTATCAGAAGAAAAGGTAAACTCTGTCAGCTGAATGAACAGATCACAAAGTAGTTTCTGATAATTGTTCTGTCTTGTTTTTCTATGAAGATATTTCCTTTTCTACCATAGGCCTCAAACCGCACTAAATAACCACTTGGAAATACTAAAAAAAGAGTATTTTAAAACTGCTCTTTCGAAAGGAAGGTTCAACTCTATGAGTTGAATGCACACCTCCCAAATAAGTTTCTGACAATTCTTCTGTCAAGTTTAATATGATGAAAACCCGTTTCCAACGAAGGCCTCAAAAACGTCCAAATATTCCCCTGCAGATTCTACAAAAAGAGTGTTTCAAAACCGCTCTATCAAAAGAAATGTTAAACTCTGTGAGTTGAACGCACACATCACAAAGCCGTTTCTGAGAATCATTCTGTCTAATTTTTCTATGAAGACATGGCCTTTTCTACCTTAGGCCTCAAACTGCACAGAATATCCACTTGGAAATTCTAAAAAAAGAGAGTTTCAAAACTGCTCTATCGAAAGGAAGGTTCAACTCCGTGAGTTGAAAGCACACAGCACAGAGAAGTTTCTGAGAATTCTTCTGTCTAGTTTTATATGAAGAAATCATGTTTCAAATGAATGCAACAAATAGGTCCGAATATCCGTTTGCAGATTCTACAAAAAGAATATTTCAAAACTGCTCTATGAAGAGGACCGTTCAACTCTGTGAGTTCTATACAAATATCACAAAATAGTTTCTGACAATGCTTCTGTCTAATTTTTATGTGAAGATATTTCCTTTTCTACCATAGCCCTCAAGGCGATCTAAATATACACTTGCAAATTCCACAAAAAGAGTGTTTCAAAACTGCTCTATCAAAAGAAACGTTAAACTCTGTAAGCTGAATGCACACATTAAAAAGCAGTTACTCAGAATGATTCTGTCTTGGTTTTCTATGAAGATATTTCCTTTTCTACCACAGGCCTCAAACCGTTGTAAATATTCACTTGGAAATTCTACAAAAGGAGTATTTCAAACTGCTCTATAGAAAGGAAGGTTCAGCTCTGCAAGTTCAATGCACACATCACAAAGAAGTTTCTGAGAATTCTTCTGTCAAATTTTATATGAAGAAATCCCGTTTCCAACGAAGGCCTCAAAAAAGTCCAATTATTCACTTGCAGATACTACAAAAAGAGTGTTTCAAAACTGCTCTATCAAAAGAAGGGTTAAACTCTCTGAGCTGAATGCACACATCACAAAGCAGTTTCTGAGAATCATTCTGTCTAGTTCTTCTTCGAAGATATTGCCTTCTCTACCATAGGCCACAAACGGCGCTAAATATCCACTTGGAAATTCTACGAAAAGAGAGTTTCAAAACTGCTGTATCGAAAGGAAGGTTCAACAATGTGAGTTGAAAGCACATATCAGAAAAAAGTTTCTGTGCATTCTTCTGTATAGATTTATAAGAAGAAATCACGGTTCAAATGAAGGCCACCAAGATTTCCAAATATCCACTTGCAGATACTACAAAAAGTGTGTTTCAAAACTGCTCTATCAAGAGGAATGTTCAAATCTGGGAGTTGAATGCAAATATCACAAAGTAGTTTCTCACAATACTTCTGTCTAGTTTTCATGTGAAGATATTTCCTTTTCTGCCGTAGGTCTCAAAGCACTCTAAATATACACATGCAAATTCCACAAAAAGAGTGTTTCAAAACTGCTCTATAAAAAGAAAGTTTAAGCCTTGTAAGCTTAATGCACACATCACAAAGTAGTTTCTGATAATGACTCTATCTTGTTTTTCTATGAAGGCATTTCCTTTTCTACCATAGGCCTCAAATCGCACTAAATATCCACTTGGAAATTCTAGAAAAAGAGTATTTCAAAACTGCTCTGTAGAAAGGAAGGTTCATCTCTGTGAATCGAATGCACATATCACAAAGAAGTTTCTGTGAATTCTTCCATCAAGTTTTATATGAAGAAATCCCGTTTCCAAAGAAGGCCTAAAAAAGCCCAAATATTCACTTGCAGATACTACCAAAAGAGTGTTTCAAAACTGCTCTATCAAAAGAATGGTTAAACTCTCTGAGCTGAACGCACACATCACAAAGTAGTTTCTGAGAATCATTCTGTCTAGCTTTTCTACGAAGGTATTTCCTTTTCTACCATAGGCCTGAAACGGCGCTAACTATCCAGTTGGAAATTCTACGAAAAGAGAGTTTCAAAACTCTTCTATCGAAAGGAAATTTCAACTCTGTGAGTTGAAAGCACAAATCACAAAGAGGTTTCTGAGAATTCTTATGTCTAGTTTTATATGAAGAAATCACGATTCTAAAGGAAGGCCACAAACAGTTCCAAATATCCACTTCCAGATTCTACAAAAAGGGTGTTTAAAAAATGCTCTATCAATCAAAAGAAAGGTTCAACTCTGTGAGTTGAATGCACACATCACAAAGTAGTTTCTGAGAATCATTCTGTCTAGTTTTTGTATGAAGCTATTGCCTTTTCTACCATAGGCTTGAAACGGTGCTAAGTATCCACTTGGAAATTCCACAGAAAGAGAGTTTCAAAACTCCTCTATCGAAAGGAAGTTTCAACTCTGTGAGTTGAAAGCACATATCACAGAGAAGTTTCTGAGAATTCTTCTGTCTAGATTTATATTAAGAAATCACGTTTGAAACGAAGGCCACAGAGAGGTTCAAATATAAACTTGCAGATTCTACAAAAGAGTTTCTCAAAACTGCTCTATCAAGAGGAATGTTCAACTCTATGAGTTGAATGCAAACATCAAAAAGTAGTTTCTGAAAAAGCTTCTGTCCAGTTTTTATGTGAAGATATTTCCTTTTCTATGGTATGCCTCAAAGCTCACTAAATATACTCTCGCAAATTCCACAAAAAGTTTGTATCAAAACTGCTCCATCAAAAGAAATGCTAAACTGTGTAATCTGAATGCACACATCACAAGCAGTTTCTGAGAATGATTCTGCCTAGTTTTTCTATGAAGTTATTTCCTTTTCTATTATAGGCCTCAAACCGCTCTAAATATCCACTTGGAAATTCTACAAAAAGAGTATTTCAAAACTGCTCTATCGAAAGGAAGGTTCATCTCTGTGAATCGAATGCACACATCACAAAGAAGTTTCTGAGAATTCTTCTGTCAAGTTTTATATGAAGAAATTCCGTTTCCAACGAAGGCCTCAAAAAGTCAAAATATTCTCTTGCAGATTCTACAAAAAGAGCTTTTCAAAACTGCTCTATCAAAAGAAAGGTTAAACTCTGTGAGTTGAATGCAAACATCACAAAGTAGCTTCTGAGAATCATTCTGTCTAGTTTTTATATGAAGATATTGCCTTTTCTACCCTAGGCCTCAAACGGCGCTAAATATCCACTTGGAAATTCTACAAAAAGAGAGTTTCAGAACTGCTCTATCGAAAGGAAGCTTCAACTCTCTGAGTTGAAAGCACACATCACAAAAAAGTTGCTGAGAATTCTTCTCTCTAGTTGTTAATGAAGAAATCACGTTTCAAAAGAAGGCCACAAAGAGGTCCAAATATCCACTTACAGATTCTACTAATATAGCGTTTCAAAACTGCTCCATCAAGAGGAATGATCAACTCTGTGAGTGGAATGCAAATATCAAAAAGTAGTTTCTGACAATGCTTCTGTCTAGTTTTTATGTGAAGATATTTTCTTTCCTACCATAAGCCTCAAAACGCTGTAAATATACAATTGCATATTCCACAGAAAGAGTGTTTCAAAACTGCTCTATTAAGAGAAAGTTTAAACTCCGTAAGCTGAATGCACACATCACAATATAGTTTCGGAGAATGCTTCTGTCTTGTTTTTCTATGAAGATATTTCCTTTTCAACCATAGGCCTCAAAACCCTCTAAATATCCACTTGGAAATCCTACAAAAAGAGTATATCAATACTGCTCTATAGAAAGGAAGGTTCAACTCTGTGAGTTGAATGCACACATCACAAAGAAGATTCGGAGAATTCTTTTCTCAAGTTTTATATTAAGAAATCCCTTTTCCAACGAAGGCCTCAAAAAAGTCCAAATATTCACTTACAGATTCTATAAAAAGAGTGTTTCAAAACTTCTCTACCAAAAGAAACGTTAAACTCTGTGAGTTGAACGCACACATCACAAAGTAGTTTCTGAGAATCATTGTCTAGTATTTCTATAAAGATATTGCATTTTCTACCAAAGGCCTCAAATGGCGCTAAATATCCACTAGGAAATTCTACAAAAAGAGAGTTTCAAAACTGCTCTATCGAGAGGATGCTTCAACTCTGTTAGTTGAAAGCATACATCACAAAGAAGTTTCCGAGAATTCTTCTGTCTAGTTGTAAATGGAGGAATAACGTTTCAAACGAGGCCACAAAGAGGTCCAAATAGCAACTCCCAGATTCCACAAAAAGAGTGTTTCAAAACAGCTCCATCAAGAGGAATGTTCAACTCTGGGAGTTGAATGCAAATATCACAAAGTATTTCTGACAATGCTTTTGTCTAGTTTTTATGTGAAGATATTTCCTTTTCTACCGTAGGTCTCAAAGCGCTCAAAGTATACACTTACAAATTCCACAAAATGTGTGTTTCAGACCTGTTCAATCAAAAGATATGTTAAACTCTGAATGCTGAATGCACACATCACAAAGAAGTCTCTGAGAATGATTCTGTCTAGGTTTTCAATGAAGATATTTCCTTTTCTACCATAGGCCTCAAACCGTTTTAAATATAAACTTGGAAATTCTACAAAAAGAGTATTTCAAAACTGCTCTATCGAAAGGAAAGTTCAACTCTTTGCTTTGAATGCACACATCACAAAGAAGATTCTGAGAATTCTTCTGTCAAGTTTTACATGAAGAAATCTCATTTCCTACGAAGGCCTCAAAGCAGTCCAAATACTCACTTGTACATTCTACAAAAAGAGTTTTTCAAAACTGCTGTATCAAAAGAAAGGTTAAAATCTGTGAGTTGAACGCACACATCACAAATTAGTTTCTGAGAATCATTCTGTCTTGTTTTTCTATGAAGAAATTGCCTTTTCTACCATTGGCCACAGTCAGTGCTAATTATCCCTATGAAATTCTACAAAAATAGAGTTTCAGAACTACTCTATCGAAAGGAAGTTTTAACTCTGTGAGTTGAAAGCACACATCAAACAGAAGTTTCTGAGAAGTTTTCTGTCTAGTTTTATATGAAGAAATCACGTTTCAAACGAAGGACACAAAAGGTCCAAATATCCAGTTGCAGATGCTACAAAAAGAGTGTTTCAAAACAACTCCATCAAGAGGAATATTCAACTCTGTGAGTTGAATGCAAATATCACAAAGTAGTTTCTGACAATGCTTCTGTCTATTTATTCTATGAAGATATTTCCATTTATAGAACAGGCCTCAAATCGCTCTAAATATCCACTTGGAAATTCTATAAAAAGAGTATTTCAAACTGATCCATCGAAAGGAAGGTTCAACACTGTGAGTTGAATGCACAAATCCCAAAGAAGTTTTTGAGAATTCTTCTGCCAAGTTTTATATGAAGAAAAACCGTTTCCAACGAAAGCCCAAAAAAAGTCCAAATATTCACTTGCAGATTCTACAAAAAGAGTGTTTCAAAACTGCTCTTCCCAAAGAAAATTCTATCTATGTGAGTTGAACGCACACACCAGAAAATACTTTCTGAAAATGATTCTGACTAGTTTTCCATGAAGATAATGCCTTGTCTACCATAGGCCTCAAACGACGCTAAATATCCACTTGGAAACAGTACAAAAAGAGAGGTTGAAAACTGCTCCCTCGATAGGAAATTTCAACAGTTTGAGTTGAAAGCACACATCACAACGAATTTTCTGAGAATTCTTCTGTCTAGTTTTATCTTAAGAAATCCCTTTTCAAAGGAAGGCCACAAAGAGGTCCAAATATCCACTCCCAGATTCAACAGAAAGAGTGTTTCAAAATTGCTCTATCAAGAGGAATGTTCAACACTGTGAGTTGAATGCACACATCATAAAGTAGTTTCTGAGAATTCTTCTGCCAAGTTTTATGTGAAGAAAAACCGTTTCCAACGAAAGTCCCAAAAAAGTACAAATATTCACTTGCAGACTCTACAAAAAGAGTGTTTCAAATTTGCTCTTTCAAAAGAAAAGTCTATCTCTGTGAGTTGAACGCACACATCAGAAAATACTTTCTGAGAATTATTCTGACTAGTTTTCCATGAAGATATTGCCTTTACTACCATAGACCTCAAACGATGCTAAATATCCACTTGGAAACAGTACAAAAAGAGACTTTCAAAACTGCTCTATCGAAAGGAAGGTTCAGACGTTTGAGTTGAAAGCACACACCACAAAGAAGTTTCTGAGAATTCCTCTGTATAGATTTATATTAAGAAATCCCTTTTAAACGAAGGCCACAAAGAGGTCCAAATATCCACTCCCAGATTCAAAAAAAAAGAGTGTTTCAAAATTGCTCTATCAAGAGGAATGTTCAACCCTGTGAGTTGAAATCAAATATCAAAAACTAGTTTCTGACAACGCTTCTGTCTAGTTTTTATGTGAAAATATTTCGTTTTCTACCGTAGGCCTCAAAGCACTATAAACATACCATTGCAAATTCCACAAAAAGGGTGTTTCAAAACTGCTCTCTCAAAAGACAGTTTAAACTCTGTGAGTTGAATGCTCACATCACAAAGTAGTTTCTGAGAATCATTCTGTCTAGTTTTTCTATGAAGATATTGTGTTTTCTACCATAGGCCTCAAACAGCTCTAAATATCCACTTGGAAATTCGAAAAAAAGAGTTTCAAAACTGCTGTATCGAATTGAAGGTTCAAATCTGTGAGTTGAAAGCACACATCACAAAGAAGTTTCTTAGACTTCTTCTCTCTAGTTTTATATGAAGAAATCACGTTTCAAACGAAGGCCACAAAGAGGTCCAAATATCCATTTGCACATTCCACAAAAAGAGTGTTTCAAAACTCCTCTATCAAGAGCAATGTTCAACTCTGTGAGTTGAATGCAAATATCACAAAACACTTTCTGACAATCCTGTCTAGTTTTTATGTTATTTCCTTTTCTACCATAGGCTTCAAACCGCACTAAATATCCACTTGGAAATTCTGAAAAAAAGATTATTTCAAAATTACTCTATCGAAAGGAAGGTTCAGCTCTGTGAGTTGAATGCACACCTCCCAAATAAGTTACTGACAATTCTTCTGTCAAGTTGAAGAAATCCCGTTTCCAACGAAGGCCTCAAGAAAGTCCAAATATTCACTTGCAGATTCTACGAAAAGAGTGTTTCAAAACCGCTCTATCAAAAGAAAGTTTCAACTCTGTGAGTTAAACGCACACATCTCAAAGCAGTTTCTGAGAATCATTCTGTCTAGTTTTTCTACGAAGATATTGCCTTTTCTACCATAGGCCTCAAACGGCGCTAAATATCCTCTTGGAAATTCTACAAAAAGAGAGTTTCAAAACTCTTCTATCGAAAGGAAGGTTCAACTCTGTGAGTTAAAAGCACACATCACAAAGAAGTTTCTGAGAATTCTTCCCTCTAGTTTTCTATGAAGAAATCACGTTTCAAACGAACGCCACCAAGAGGTCCAAATACCCAATTGCAGATTCTACAAAAAGAGTGTTTCAAAACTGCTCTATCAAGATGAAAGCTCAACTCTGGGAGTGGAATGCAAATATCACAAAGTAGTTTCTGACAATGCTTCTGTCTAGTTTTTATGTGAAGATATTTACTTTTCTGCCGTAGGCCTAGAAGCACTCTGAATACACACTTGCAAATTCCACAAAAAGAGTGTTTAAAAACTGCTCTATAGAAAGAAAGTGTAAGCCCTGTAAGCTTAATTCACACATCACAAAGTAGTTTCTGATAATGATTCTATCTTGTTTTTCTGTGAAGACATTTCCTTTTCCACCATAGGCCTCAAACCGCACGAAATACCACTTGGAAATTCTACAAAAAGAGTATTTCAGAACTGCTCTATTGAAAGGAAGTTTCAACACTGTGAGTTGAATGCACACCTCCCAAATAAGTTTCTGAAAATTCTTCTGTCAAGTTTTATATGAAGAAATTCCGTTTCCAACGAAGGCCTCAAAATGTCCAAATATTCAAGTACAGATTCTACAAAAAGAATGTTTCAAAACTGCTCTATGAAAAGAAAGGTTAAATTCTGTGAGTTGAATGCACACAACACAAAGTAGTTTCTGAGAATCATTCTATCTAATTTTTCTACGAAGATATTGACTTTTCTACCATTGGCCTCAAACGGCGCTAAGTATCCACTTGGAAATTCTACAAAGTGAGAGTTTCAAAACTGCTCTATCGAGAGGAAGATTCAGCTCTGTGAATTGAAAGCACACATCCCAAAGAAGTTTCTGAGAATTCTACTGTCTAGTTTAATATGAAGAAATCACGTTTCAAAAGATGGCCACTAAGAGGTCCAATTATCCACTTGCAGATTCTACAAAAAGAGTGTTTCAAAACTGCTCTATCGAGAGGAATGTTCAATTCTGTGTTTTGAACGCAAATATCAAAAAGTAGTTTCTGTCAAAGTTCTGCCTAGCTTTTATGTGAAGATATTTCCTTTTTATACCACAGGCCTCAAACCGCTATTAATATCCACTTGGAAATCCTACAAAAAGAGTATTTCAAAATTCCTCTATCGAAAGGAAGGTTAAACTCTGTAAGCCGAATACATCACAAATTAGTTTCTGAGAATGATTCTGTCTAAGTTTTCAATGAAGATATTTCCCTTTTCACCACAGGCCACAGACCGCTGTAAATATCCACTTGCACATTCCACAAAAAGAGTATTTCAAAACTGCTCTATCGAAAGGAAGGTTCAACTCTGTGAGTTGAATGCACACATCACAAAGAAGTTCCTGATAATTCTTCTGTCAAGTTTTGCGAGAAGAAATCCCGTTTCCAACGATGGCCTAAAACAAGTCCAAATATTCACTTGCAGATTCTACAAAAAGATTGTTTCAAAACTGCTCTATCAAAAGAAAGGTTAAACTCTGTGAGTTCAACGCACACATCAAAAAGTAGTTTCTGAGAATCATTCTGCCTTGTTTTTCTATGAAGATACACAAGAGGACTCAAACGGCGTTAAATATCCTCTGGGAAATACTACGGAAACAGAGTTTCGAAACTGTTCTATCGAAAGGAAGGTTCAACCCTGTGAGTTGAAAGCACACATCACGAAGAAGGTTCTGAGAATTCTTCTGTCTAGTTTTATATGAAGACATCCCGTTTCAAACGAAGGCCACAAAGACGTCCAAATAATCAATTGCAAGATTCTTGAAAAGGAGTCTTCCAAAACTGCTCTATCAAGAGGAATGCTCACCTCTGTGAGTGGAATGCAAATATCACAAAGTAGTTTCTGACAATGCTTCTGTCTAGTTTTTATGTGAAGACATTTCCTTTTCTACCGTAGGCCTCAAAGCGCTCTAAATATACATTTGCAAATTCCAAGAAAAGACTGCTTCAAAACTGCTCTATCAAAAGAAAGGTTAAACTTTGCAAGCTGAATGCACACATCACAAAGTTGTTTCGGAGAAAGATTCTGTCTAGTTTTTCTATGAAGATATTTCCTTTTCTACCATACTCCTCAAACGGCGCTAAATATACACTTGGAAATTCTATAAAATAAAGTTTCAAAACTGCTCTATCGAAAGGAAGGTTCAACCCTTTGAGTTGAATGCACACATCACAAAGAAGTTTCTGGATATTCTTCTGTCAAGTTTTATGTAAAGAAATCCCGTTTACAAAGAAGGCCTCAAAAAAGTCCAAATATTCCCTTGCAGATTCTACAAAAAGAGTGTTTCAAAACTGCTCTCTCAATAGAGAGGTTAAACTATGGAGGTGAACGCACTCATCACAAAGTAGTTTCTGAGAATCATTCTGTCTGGTTTTTCTATGAAGATATTTCCTTTTCTACCACAGTCCTCAAACGGCACTAAATATCCACTTGGAAATTCTACAAAAAGAGAGCTTCAGTACTCCTCTCTCGAAAGGAAGGTTCAGCTCTGTGAGTTGAAAGCACACATCACAAAGAAGTTTCTGAGAATCCTTCTGTCTAGCTTTATATGAACAAATCACGTTTCAAAAGAAGGCCACCAACAGGTCCAAATATCCAATTGCAGATTCTACAAAAAGAGGGTTTCAAAACTGCTCTATCAAGAGGAATGTTCAACTCCGTGAGTTGAATGCAAATATCACAAAGTAGTCTCTGACAATGCTTCTGTCTAGCTTTTATGTGAAGATATTTGCTTTTCTACCATAGGCCTCAAAGTGCTCGAAATATACACTAGCAAATTGCACAAAAAGAGTGTTTCATAACTGCTCTACCAAAAGATAGGTTAAACTCGGTAAGCTGAATGCACACCTCACAAAATCGACTCTGAGAATGATTCTGTCTAGATTTTCTATGAAGATATTTCCTTTTCTTCCACAGGCCGCAGACTGCATTAAATATGCAATTTGAAATTCTACAAAAAGAGTATTTCGAAACTGCTCTATCGAAAGGAAGGTTCAACACTGTGAGTTGAATACAAATATCTCAAAGAAGTTTCTGAGAATTCTTCTGTCAAGTTTTATATGAAGAAATCCCGTTTCCAACGAAGGCCCCAAAAAAGTCCAAATATTCACTTGCAGATTCTACAAAAAGAGTGTTTCAAAACTGCTCTATCAAAAGAAAGGTTAAATGCTGTGAGTTGAACGCACACATCACAAAGTAGTTTCTGAGAAACATTCTGTCTAGTTTTTCTATGAAGATATTGCCTTTTCTACTATAGGCACTATAGGCCTCAAAGGCGCTAAATATCCACTTGGATATTCTACAAAAGAGATTTTCAAAACTGCTCTATAGAAAGGAAGGTGCAAATCTGTGTGCTGAATGCACACAACACAAAGAAGATTCTGAGAATTCTTCTGTCTAGTTTTATATGAAGAAATCCCATTTCAAATGAAGGCTACGAAGAGGTCAACATATCCACTTGCAGAATCTACCAAAAGAGTGTTAAAAAGCTGCTCTGTCAAGAGGAATGTTCAACTCTGTGAGTTGAAATTAAATATCAAAAAGTAGTTTCTGACAATGCTTCTGTCTAGTTTTTATGTGAAAATATTTCGTTTTCTACCGTAGACCTCAAAGCACTATAAACATACCCTTGCAAATTCCACAAAAAGAGTGTTTCAAAACTGCTCTCTCAAAAGACAGTTTAAATTCTGTGAGTTGAATGCTCACATCACAAAGTAGTTTCTGAGAATCATTCTGTCTAGTTTTTCTATGAAGATATTGTGTTTTCTACCATAGGCCTCAAACAGCTCTAAATATCCACTTGGAAATTCGAAAAAAAGGGTTTCAAAACTGCTGTATCGAATTGAAGGTTCAAATCTGTGAGTTGAAAGCACACATCACAAAGAAGTTTCTTAGACTTCTTCTCTCTAGTTTTATATGAAGAAATCACGTTTTCAAACGAAGGCCACAAAGAGGTCCAAATATCCATTTGCACATTCCACAAAAAGAGTGTTTCAAAACTCCTCTATCAAGAGCAATGTTCAACTCTGTGAGTTGAATGCAAATATCACAAAATCGTTTCTGACAATCCTGTCTAGTTTTTATGTTATTTCCTTTTCTACCATAGGCCTCAAAGCACGATATATATGCACTTGCAAATTCCCCCAAAAGGGTGTTTCAAACCTGATCTATCAAAAGGAATGTTAAACTCCATAAGCTCAATGCACAAATCACAATGTAGTTTATGAGAATGATTCTGTCTAGTTTCTCTATTAAGATATTTCATTTTCCACCACAAGCCTCAAACCGCTCTAAATATCCACTTGGAAATTCTACAAAAGGCTATTTCAAAGCTGCTCTATCGACAGGAAGCTTCAACTCTGTGAGTTGAATGCACACATCACAGAGAAGTTTCTGAGAATTCTTCTGCCAAGTTTTATATGAAGGAGTCCCGCTTCCAAAGAAGACCTCATAAAAGTCCAAATATTCACTTGCAGATTCTACCCAAAGAGTGTTTCAAAACTGCTCTATGAAAAGAAAGGTTAAACTCTGAGAGTTGAACGCACACATCACAAAGTAGTTTCTGAGAATCATTCTGTCTACTTTCTCTATGAAGATATTGCCTTTCCTACCGTAGGCCTCAAACGGCGCTAAATATCCACTTGGATATTCTACAATAAGAGAGTTTTAAAACTGCTCTATTGAAAGGATGGTTAAACTCTGTGAGTTGAAATCATACAGCAGAAAGAAGTTTCTGAGAATTCTTCCCTCTAGTTTTCTATGAAGAAATCACGTTTCAAACGAACATAACAAAGAGGTCCAAATATCCAAATGCAGATTCTACAAAAAGGATATTTCAAAACTGCTCTGTCAAGAGGAACGTTCAACTCTGTGAGTTGAATGCAAATAAAACAAAGTAGTTTCTGACAATGCTTCTGTCTAGTTTTTATGTAAAGATATATCATTTTCTACCGCAGGCTTCGAAGTGCTCTAAATATACACTTGCAAATTCCACAAAAAGAGTGGTTCAAAACTGCTCTATCAAAAGAAACGTTAAACTCTGTAACCTGAATGCACACACCACAAAGTAGTTTCTGATAACTATTCTATCTGGTTTTTCTATGAAGATATTTCCTTTTCTACCATAGGCCTCAAACCGCACTAAATATCCACTTGGAGATTCTGAAAAAAGATTATTTCAAAATTACTCTATCGAAAGGAAGGTTCAGCTCTGTGAGTTGATGCACACCTCCCAAATAAGTTACTGACAATTCTTCTGTCAGGTTGAAGAAATCCCGTTTCCAACGAAGGCCTCAAGAAAGTCCAAATATTCACTTGCAGATTCCACGAAAAGAGTGTTTCAAAACCGCTCTATCAAAAGAAAGTTTCAATTCTGTGAGTTAAACGCACACATCTCAAAGCAGTTTCTGAGAATCATTCTGTCTAGTTTTTCTACGAAGATATTGCCTTTTCTACCATAGGCCTCGAACGGCGCTAAATATCCACTTGGAAATACTACAAAAAGAGAGTTTCAAAACTCCTCTATCGAAAGGAAGCTGCAAATCTGCGAGTTGAAAGCACACATCGCAAAGAAGTTGATGAGAATTCTTCTGTCTAGTTTTGTAGGAAGAAGTCACGTCTCAAACGAAGGCCACAAAGAGGTCCAAATCTCCACTTGGAGATTCAACAAAAAGAGTTTTTCAAAACTGCTCCGTCAAGAGGAATATTCAACTCTGAGAGTTGAAGGCAGGTATCACAAAGTAGTTTCCGACAACGCTTCTGTTTAGATTTTATGTGAAGACATTCCCTTTTGTACCACAGGCCTGAAAGCACTCTAAATATAGAATTGCAAATTCCACAGAAAGAGTGTTTAAAACCGCTCTATCCAAAGAAAGGTTAAACTCTGTCAGCTGAAGGCGCACATCACAAAGTAGCTTCAGAGAACAATTATGTCTAGTTTCTCTGTGAAGATATTTCTTTTTCCGCCATAGACCTCAAACCGCTGTAAAAATCCACTTGGAAATTCTACAAAAAGAGTATTTCAAAACGCTTCTATCGAAAGGAAGTTTCAACTCCATGAGTTAAATGCACATATCTCAAATAATTTTCTGAGGATTCTTCCTTCAAGTTTTATACGAAGAAATCCCGTTTCCAAAGATGGCCTCAGAAAAGTCCCAATATACACTTGCAGATTCTACAAAAAGAGTTTTTCAAAACTGCTCTATCAAAAGAAAGGTTAAACTCTGTGAGTTGAAGGCACACATCACAATGTAGTTTCTGAGAATCATTCTGTCTAGTTTTTCTAGGAAGATATTGCATTTTCCACCATAAGCCTCAAACGGCGCCAAATATCCACTTGGAAATTCTACAAAAAGAGAGTCACAAAACTGCTCTATCGAAAGGAAGCTTCAACGCTGCGAGTTGAAAGCACACATCACGAAGAAGTTTATGAGAATTCTTCTGTCTACTTTTGTATGAAGCAGTCACGTTTCAAACGAAGGCCACAAAGAGGTCCAAATACCCACGTGGAGATTCAACAAAAAGAGTTTTTCAAAACTGCTGCATCAAGAGGAATATTCAACTCTGAGAGTTGAAGGCAGGTATCACCAAGTCGTTTCCGACAATGCTTCTGTCTAGATTTTATGTGAAGACATTCCCTTTTGTACGACAGGCCTGAAAGCACTCTAAATATAGAATTGCAAATTCCACAAAAAGAGTGTTTAAAACCGCTCTATCCAAAGAAAGGTTAAACTCTGTCAGCTGAAGGCGCACATCACAAAGTAGCTGCAGAGAACAATTATGTCTAGTTTCTCTGTGAAGATATTTTCTCTTCTACATAGGCCTGAAACCGCTCTAAATATTCACTTGAAAATTCTAGAAGAAGAATATTTCAAAACTCTTCTGTCAAAAGGAAGGTTGAACTCTGAGAGTTAAATGCACACATCACAAAGAAGTTTCTGGGAATTCTTCTGTCAAGGTTTCTATGAAGAAATCCCGTTTCCAATGAAGGCCTCAAAAAAGTCCAAAAATTTACTTGCAGATTCCACAAAAAGAGTGTTTCATAACTGGTCTATCAAAAGAAAGGTTAACTCAGTGAGTTGAACCCACACATCACAAAGTAGTTTCTGAGAATCATTCTGTCTAGTTTTTCTATGAAGATATTGTGTTTTCTACCATAGGCCTCAAACAGCTCTAAATATCCACTTGGAAATTCGAAAAAAAGGGTTTCAAAACTGCTGTATCGAATTGAAGGTTCAAATCTGTGAGTTGAAAGCACACATCACAAAGAAGTTTCTTAGACTTCTTCTCTCTAGTTTTATATGAAGAAATCACGTTTTCAAACGAAGGCCACAAAGAGGTCCAAATATCCATTTGCACATTCCACAAAAAGAGTGTTTCAAAACTCCTCTATCAAGAGCAATGTTCAACTCTGTGAGTTGAATGCAAATATCACAAAATCGTTTCTGACAATCCTGTCTAGTTTTTATGTTATTTCCTTTTCTACCATAGGCCTCAAAGCACGATATATATGCACTTGCAAATTCCCCCAAAAGGGTGTTTCAAACCTGATCTATCAAAAGGAATGTTAAACTCCATAAGCTCAATGCACAAATCACAATGTAGTTTATGAGAATGATTCTGTCTAGTTTCTCTATTAAGATATTTCATTTTCCACCACAAGCCTCAAACCGCTCTAAATATCCACTTGGAAATTCTACAAAAGGCTATTTCAAAGCTGCTCTATCGACAGGAAGCTTCAACTCTGTGAGTTGAATGCACACATCACAGAGAAGTTTCTGAGAATTCTTCTGCCAAGTTTTATATGAAGGAGTCCCGCTTCCAAAGAAGACCTCATAAAAGTCCAAATATCACT
>NC_000003.12:91233686-91247622 GCF_000001405.40 Homo sapiens
AGAATTATCAGAAACTTCTTTGTGATGTGTACTTTCAACTCACAGAGTTGAAGCTTCCTTTCAATAGAGCACTTTTGAAACTCAGTTTCTGTAGAATTTCCAGGTGGATATTTAGCGCCGTTTGAGGCCTATGGTGGAAAAGGCAATATCTTCGTAGAAAAACTAGACAGAATGATTCTCAGAAACAACTTTGTGATGTGTGCGTTCAACTCACGGAGTTTAACCTTTCTTTTGATAGACCAGTTATGAAACACTGTTTTTGTAGAATCTGCAAGTAAATATTTGGACTTTTTTGAGGCCTTCATTGGAAACGGGATCTCTTCATACAAACCTTGACAGAAGAATTCTCAGAAACTTCTTTGTGATGTGTACTTTCAACTCACAGATTTGAAGCTTCCTTTCAATAGAGCACTTTTGAAACTCAGTTTCTGTAGAATTTCCAGGTGGATATTTAGCGCCGTTTGAGGCCTATGGTGGAAAAGGCAATATCTTCGTAGAAAAACTAGACAGAATTGTTCTCTGAAGCTACTTTGTGATGTGCGCATTCACCTTACAGGGTTTAACCTTTCTTTGGATCGAGCGGTTTTAAACACTCTGTTTGTGTATTTTGCAATTCTATATTTAGAGTGATTTCAGGCCTGTGGTACAAAAGGGAATGTCTTCACATAAAATCTAGACAGAAGAATTCTCAGAAACTTCTTTGTGATGTGTACCTTCAACTCACAGAGTTGAAGCTTCCTTTCAATAGAGCACTTTTGAAACTCAGTTTTTGTAGAATTTCCAGGTGGATATTTAGCGCCGTTTGAGGCCTATGGTAGAAAAGGCAATATCTTCGTAGGAAAACTAGACACAATGATTCTCAGACACTACTTTGTGATGTGTGGGTTCAACTCACTGAGTTTAACCTTTCTTTTGATAGACCAGTTATGAAACACTCTTTTTGTAGAATCTGCAAGTAAATATTTGGACTTTCTTGAGGCCTTCATTGGAAACGGGATTTCTTCATATAAGCCTTACCAGAAGAATTCCCAGAAACTTCTCTGTGATGTGTGCATTTAACTCTCAGAGTTCAACCTTCCTTTTGATAGAAGAGGGTTGAAATTTTCTTTTTGTAGAATTTCCAAGTGAATATTTAGAGCGGTTTCAGGGCTAAGTAGAAGAGAAAGTATCTTCACAGAAAAACTAGACATAATGATTCTCAGAAACTACTTTGTGATGTGTGGGTTCAACTCACTGAGTTTAACCTTTCTTTTGATAGACCAGTTACAAAACACTCTTTTTGTAGAATCTGCAAGTAAATATTTGGACTTTTTTGAGGCCTTCATTGGAAACGGGATTTCTTCATAGAAACCTTGACAGAAGAATTCTCCGAAACTTCTTTGTGATGTGTACTTTCAACTCACAGAGTTGAAGCTTCCTTTCAATAGAGCACTTTTGAAACTCAGTTTCTGTAGAATTTCCAGGTGGATATTTAGCGCCGTTTGAGGTCTATGGTGGAAAAGGCAATGTCTTCGTAGAAAAACTAGACAGAATTGTTCTCTGAAGCTACTTTGTGATGTGCGCATTCACCTTACAGGGTTTAACCTTTCTTTGGATCGAGCGGTTTTAAACACTCTGTTTGTGTATTTTGCAATTCTATATTTAGAGTGATTTCAGGCCTGTGGTACAAAAGGGAATGTCTTCACATAAAATCTAGACAGAAGAATTCTCAGAAACTACTTTGTGATGTGTACTTTCAACTGACAGTGTTGAAGCTTCCTTTCAATAGAGCACTTTTGAAACTCAGTTTCTGTAGAATTTCCAGGTGGATATTTAGCGCCGTTTGAGGCCTATGGTGGAAAAGGCAATATCTTCGTTGAAAAACTAGACAGAATGATTCTCAGAAACAACTTTGTGATGTGTGCGTTCAACTCACGGAGTTTAACCTTTCTTTTGATAGACCAGTTATGAAACACTCTTTTTGTAGAATCTGCAGGTAAATATTTGGACTTTTTTGAGGCCTTCATTGGAAACGGGATCTCTTCATATAAACCTTGACAGAAGAATTCTCAGAAACTTCTTTGTGATGTGTACCTTCAACTCACAGAGTTGAAGCTTCCTTTCAATAGAGCACTTTTGAAACTCAGTTTTTGTAGAATTTCCAGGTGGATATTTAGCGTCGTTTGAGGCCTATGGTAGAAAAGGCAATATCTTCGTAGGAAAACTAGACAGAATGATTCTCAGAAACAACTTTGTGATGTGTGCGTTCAACTCACGGAGTTTAACCTTTCTTTTGATAGACCAGTTATGAAACACTCTTTTTGTAGAATCTGCAAGTAAATATTTGGACTTTTTTGAGGCCTTCATTGGAAACGGGATCTCTTCATACAAACCTTGACAGAAGAATTCTCAGAAACTTCTTTGTGATGTGTACCTTCAACTCACAGAGTTGAAGCTTCCTTTCAATAGAGCACCTTAGAAACTCAGTTTTTGTAGAATTTCCAGGTGGATATTTAGCGCCGTTTGAGGCCTATGGTAGAAAAGGCAATATCTTCGTAGGAGGACTAGACAGAATGATTCTCAGAAGCTACTTTGTGATGTGTGGGTTCAACTCACTGAGTTTAACCTTTCTTTTGATAGACCAGTTTATGAAACACTCTTTTTGTAGAATCTGCAAGTAAATCTTTGGACTTTTTTGAGGCCTTCATTGGAAACGGGGTTTCTTCATATAAACCTTGACAGAAGAATTCTCAGAAACTTCTTTGTGATGTGTACCTTCAACTCACAGAGTTGAAGCTTCCTTTCAATAGAGCACCTTAGAAACTCAGTTTTTGTAGAATTTCCAGGTGGATATTTAGCGCCGTTTGAGGCCTATGGTAGAAAAGGCAATATCTTCATAGGAGGACTAGACAGAATGATTCTCAGAAACAACTTTGTGATGTGTGCGTTCAACTCACGGAGTTTAACCTTTCTTTTGATAGACCAGTTATGAAACACTCTTTTTGTAGAATCTGCAAGTAAACATTTGGACTTTTTTGAGGCCTTCATTGGAAACGGGATTTCTTCATATAAACCTTGACAGAAGAATTCTCAGAAACCTCTTTGTGATGTGTACTTTCAACTCACAGAGTTGAAGCTTCCTTTCAATAGAGCACTTTTGAAACTCAGTTTCTGTAGAATTTCCAGGTGGATATTTAGCGCCGTTTGAGGCCTATGGTGGAAAAGGCAATATCTTCGTAGAAAAACTAGACAGAATGATTCTCAGAAACTACTTTGTGATGTGTGGGTTCAACTCACTGAGTTTAACCTTTCTGTTGATAGACCAGTTATAAAACACTCTTTTTGTAGAATCTGCAAGTAAATATTTGGACTTTTTTGAGGCCTTCATTGGAAACGGGATTTCTTCATAGAAACCTTGACAGAAGAATTCTCAGAAACTTCTTGTGATGTGTACTTTCAACTCACAGAGTTGAAGCTTCCTTTCAATAGAGCACTTTTGAAACTCAGTTTCTGTAGAATTTCCAGGTGGATATTTAGCGCCGTTTGAGGCCTATGGTGGAAAAGGCAATATCTTCGTAGAAAAACTAGACAGAATGATTCTCAGAAACTACTTTGTGATGTGTGGGTTCAACTCACTGAGTTTAACCTTTCTTTTGATAGACCAGTTACGAAACACTCTTTTTGTAGAATCTGCAAGTAAATATTTGGACTTTTTTGAGGCCTTCATTGGAAACGGGATTTCTTCATAGAAACCTTGACAGAAGAATTCTCAGAAACTTCTTTGTGATGTGTACTTTCAACTCACAGAGTTGAAGCTTCCTTTCAATAGAGCACTTTTGAAACTCAGTTTCTGTAGAATTTCCAGGTGGATATTTAGCGCCGTTTGAGGCCTATGGTGGAAAAGGCAATGTCTTCGTAGAAAAACTAGACAGAATGATTCTCAGAAACTACTTTGTGATGTGTGGGTTCAACTCACTGAGTTTAACCTTTCTTTTGATAGACCAGTTACAAAACACTCTTTTTGTAGAATCTGCAAGTAAATATTTGGACTTTTTTGAGGCCTTCATTGGAAACGGGATTTCTTCATAGAAACCTTGACAGAAGAATTCTCAGAAACTTCTTTGTGATGTGTACTTTCAACTCACAGAGTTGAAGCTTCCTTTCAATAGAGCACTTTTGAAACTCAGTTTCTGTAGAATTTCCAGGTGGATATTTAGCGCCGTTTGAGGCCTATGGTGGAAAAGGCAATATCTTCGTAGAAAAACTAGACAGAAGTATTGTCAGAAACTTATTTGTGATATTTGCATTCAACGCACGGAGTTGAACATTCCTCTTGATGGAGCCGTTTTGAAGCACTCTTTTTGTGGAATCTGCAAGTGGATATTTGGACCTCTTTGTGGCCTTCGTGGGAAACGTGATTTCTTCATTTACAACTAGACAGAAGAATTCTCAGAAACTTCTTTGTGATGTGTACCTTCAACTCACAGAGTTGAAGCTTCCTTTCAATAGAGCACTTTTGAAACTCAGTTTTTGTAGAATTTCCAGGTGGATATTTAGCGCCGTTTGAGGCCTATGGTAGAAAAGGCAATATCTTCGTAGGAAAACTAGACAGAATGATTCTCAGAAACTACTTTGTGATGTGTGCATTCAACTCACTGAGGTTAACCTTTCTTTGGATAGACCAGTTATGAAACACTCTTTTTGTAGAATCTGCAAGTAAATATTTGGACTTTCTTGAGGCCTTCATTGGAAACGGGATTCCTTCATAGAAACCTTGACAGAGGGATTCTCAGAAACTTCTTTGTGATGTGTGCATTTAACTCTCAGAGTTCAACCTTCCTTTTGATAGAAGAGTGTTGAAATATTCTTTTTATAGAATTTCCAGGTGAATATTTAGAGCAGTTTCAGGCCTATGTAGAAGAGAAAATATCTTCACAGAAAAACTAGACACAATGATTCTCAGAAACAACTTTGTGATGTGTGCGTTCAACTCACGGAGTTTAACCTTTCTTTTGATAGACCAGTTATGAAACACTCTTTTTGTAGAATCTGCAAGTAAACATTTGGACTTTTTTGAGGCCTTCATTGGAAACGGGATCTCCCCATATAAACCTTGACAGAAGAATTCTCAGAGACTTCTTTGTGATGTGTACCTTCAACTCACAGAGTTGAAGCTTCCTTTCAATAGAGCACTTCTGAAACTCAGTTTTTGTAGAATTTCCAGGGGGATATTTAGCGCCGTTTGAGGCCTATGGTAGAAAAGGCAATATCTTCATAGGAAAACTAGACAGAATGATTCTCAGAAACTACTTTGTGATGTGTGGGTTCAACTCACTGAGTTTAACCTTTCTTTTGATAGACCAGTTACAAAACACTCTTTTTGTAGAATCTGCAAGTAAATATTTGGACTTTTTTGAGGCCTTCATTGGAAACGGGATTTCTTCATAGAAACCTTGACAGAAGAATTCTCAGAAACTTCTTTGTGATGTGTACCTTCAACTCACAGAGTTGAAGCTTCCTTTCAAAAGAGCACTTTTGAAACTCAGTTTTTGTAGAATTTCCAGGTGGATATTTAGCGCCGTTTGAGGCCTATGGTAGAAAAGGCAATATCTTCGTAGGAAAACTAGACAGAAGTATTGTCAGAAACTTATTTGTGATATTTGCATTCAACGCACGGAGTTGAACATTCCTCTTGATGGAGCCGTTTTGAAGCACTCTTTTTGTGGAATCTGCAAGTGGATATTTGGACCTCTTTGTGGCCTTCGTGGGAAACGTGATTTCTTCATTTACAACTAGACAGAAGAATTCTCAGAAACTTCTTTGTGATGTGTACTTTCAACTCACAGAGTTGAAGCTTCCTTTCAATAGAGCACTTTTGAAACTCAGTTTCTGTAGAATTTCCAGGTGGATATTTAGCGCCGTTTGAGGCCTATGGTGGAGAAGGCAATATCTTCGTAGAAAAACTAGACAGAATGATTCTCAGAAACTACTTTGTGATGTGTGCATTCAACTCACTGAGGTTAACCTTTCTTTGGATAGACCAGTTATGAAACACTCTTTTTGTAGAATCTGCAAGTAAATATTTGGACTTTCTTGAGGCCTTCATTGGAAACGGGATTCCTTCATAGAAACCTTGACAGAAGAATTCTCAGAAACTTCTTTGTGATGTGTACTTTCAACTCACAGAGTTGAAGCTTCCTTTCAATAGAGCACCTTTGAAACTCAGTTTCTGTAGAATTTCCAGGTGGATATTTAACGCCGTTTGAGGCCTATGGTGGAAAAGGCAATATCTTCGTAGAAAAACTAGACAGAATGATTCTCAGAAACAACTTTGTGATGTGTGCGTTCAACTCACGGAGTTTAACCTTTCTTTTGATAGACTAGTTATGAAACACTCTTTTTGTAGAATCTGCAAGTAAATATTTGGACTTTTTTGAGGCCTTCATTGGAAACGGGATCTCTTCATATAAACCTTGACAGAAGAATTCTCAGAAACTACTTTGTGATGTGTACTTTCAACTGACAGTGTTGAAGCTTCCTTTCAATAGAGCACTTTTGAAACTCAGTTTCTGTAGAATTTCCAGGTGGATATTTAGCGCCGTTTGAGGCCTATGGTGGAAAAGGCAATATCTTCGTTGAAAAACTAGACAGAAAGTATTGTCAGAAACTTATTTGTGATATTTGCATTCAACGCACCGAGTTGAACATTCCTCTTGATGGAGCAGTTTGGAAACACTCTTTTTGTAGAATCTGCAGGTGGATATTTGGACCTCTTTGTGGCCTTCGTTTGAAACGTGATTTCTTCATTTACAACTAGACAGAAGAATTCTCAGAAACTTCTTTGTGATGTGTGCATTTAACTCTCAGAGTTCAACCTTCCTTTTGATAGAAGAGTGTTGAAATATTCTTTTTGTAGAATTTCCAAGTGAATATTTAGAGCGGTTTCAGGCCTATGTAGAAGAGAAAATGTCTTCACAGGAAAACTAGACACAAGAATTCTCAGAAACTTCTTTGTGATGTGTACCTTCAACTCACAGAGTTGAAGCTTCCTTTCAATAGAGCACTTTTGAAACTCAGTTTTTGTAGAATTTCCAGGTGGATATTTAGCGCCGTTTGAGGCCTATGGTAGAAAAGGCAATATCTTCGTAGGAAAACTAGACAGAATGATTCTCAGAAGCTACTTTGTGATGTGTGGGTTCAACTCACTGAGTTTAAACTTTCTTTTGATAGACCAGTTTATGAAACACTCTTTTTGTAGAATCTGCAAGTAAATCTTTGGACTTTTTTGAGGCCTTCATTGGAAACGGGGTTTCTTCATATAAACCTTGACAGAAGAATTCTCAGAAACTTCTTTGTGATGTGTACCTTCAACTCACAGAGTTGAAGCTTCCTTTCAATAGAGCACTTTTGAAACTCAGTTTTTGTAGAATTTCCAGGTGGATATTTAGCGCCGTTTGAGGCCTATGGTAGAAAAGGCAATATCTTCGTAGGAAAACTAGACAGAATGATTCTCAGAAACAACTTTGTGATGTGTGCGTTCAACTCACGGAGTTTAACCTTTCTTTTGATAGACCAGTTATGAAACACTCCTTTTGTAGAATCTGCAAGTAAATATTTGGACTTTTTTGAGGCCTTCATTGGAAACGGGATTTCTTCATATAAACCTTGACAGAAGAATTCTCAGAAACTTCTTTGTGATGTGTACTTTCAACTCACAGAGTTGAAGCTTCCTTTCAATAGAGCACTTTTGAAACTCAGTTTCTGTAGAATTTCCAGGTGGATATTTAGCGCCGTTTGAGGTCTATGGTGGAAAAGGCAATGTCTTCGTAGAAAAACTAGACAGAATGATTCTCAGAAACTACTTTGTGATGTGTGGGTTCAACTCACTGAGTTTAACCTTTCTTTTGATAGACCAGTTATGAAACACTCTTTTTGTAGAATCTGCAAGTAAATATTTGGACTTTTTTGAGGCCTTCATTGGAAACGGGATTTCTTCATAGAAACCTTGACAGAAGAATTCTCAGAAACTTCTTTGTGATGTGTACTTTCAACTCACAGAGTTGAAGCTTCCTTTCAATAGAGCACTTTTGAAACTCAGTTTCTGTAGAATTTCCAGGTGGATATTTAGCGCCGTTTGAGGCCTATGGTGGAAAAGGCAATATCTTCGTAGAAAAACTAGACAGAATGATTCTCAGAAACAACTTTGTGATGTGTGCGTTCAACTCACGGAGTTTAACCTTTCTTTTGATAGACCAGTTATGAAACACTCTTTTTGTAGAATCTGCAAGTAAATATTTGGACTTTTTTGAGGCCTTCATTGGAAACGGGATTTCTTCATATAAACCTTGACAGAAGAATTCCCAGAAACTTCTCTGTGATGTGTGCATTTAACTCTCAGAGTTCAACCTTCCTTTTGATAGAAGAGGGTTGAAATATTCTTTTTGTAGAATTTCCACGTGAATATTTAGAGCGGTTTCAGGCCTATGTAGAAGATAAAATATCTTCACAGAAAAACTAGACATAATGATTCTCAGAAACAACTTTGTGATGTGTGCGTTCAACTCACGTAGTTTAACCTTTCTTTTGATAGACCAGTTATGAAACACTCTTTTTGTAGAATCTGCAAGTAAATATTTGGACTTTTTTGAGGCCTTCATTGGAAACGGGATTTCTTCATATAAACCTTGACAGAAGAATTCCCAGAAACTTCTCTGTGATGTGTGCATTTAACTCTCAGAGTTCAACCTTCCTTTTGATAGAAGAGGGTTGAAATATTCTTTTTGTAGAATTTCCACGTGAATATTTAGAGCGGTTTCAGGCCTATGTAGAAGATAAAATATCTTCACAGAAAAACTAGACATAAGTATTGTCAGAAACTTATTTGTGATATTTGCATTCAACGCACGGAGTTGAACATTCCTCTTGATGGAGCCGTTTTGAAGCACTCTTTTTGTGGAATCTGCAAGTGGATATTTGGACCTCTTTGTGGCCTTCGTGTGAAACGTGATTTCTTCATTTACAACTAGACAGAAGAATTCTCAGAAACTTCTTTGTGATGTGTACTTTCAACTCACAGAGTTGAAGCTTCCTTTCAATAGAGCACTTTTGAAACTCAGTTTCTGTAGAATTTCCAGGTGGATATTTTGCGCCGTTTGAGGCCTATGGTGGAAAAGGCAATATCTTCGTAGAAAAACTAGACAGAATGATTCTCAGAAACAACTTTGTGATGTGTGCGTTCAACTCACGGAGTTTAACCTTTCTTTTGATAGACCAGTTATGAAACACTCTTTTTGTAGAATCTGCAAGTAAATATTTGGACTTTTTTGAGGCCTTCATTGGAAACGGGATTTCTTCATATAAACCTTGACAGAGGGATTCTCAGAAACTTCTTTGTGATGTGTGTATTTTACTCTCAGAGTTCAACCTTCCTTTTGATAGAAGAGTGTTGAAATATTCTTTTTATAGAATTTCCAAGTGAATATTTAGAGCAGTTTCAGGCCTATGTAGAAGAGAAAATATCTTCACAGAAAAACTAGACACAATGATTCTCAGAAGCTACTTTGTGATGTGTGGGTTCAACTCACTGAGTTTAAACTTTCTTTTGATAGACCAGTTTATGAAACACTCTTTTTGTAGAATCTGCAAGTAAATCTTTGGACTTTTTTGAGGCCTTCATTGGAAACGGGGTTTCTTCATATAAACCTTGACAGAAGAATTCCCAGAAACTTCTCTGTGATGTGTGCATTTAACTCTCAGAGTTCAACCTTCCTTTTGATAGAAGAGGGTTGAAATATTCTTTTTGTAGAATTTCCACGTGAATATTTAGAGCGGTTTCAGGCCTATGTAGAAGATAAAATATCTTCACAGAAAAACTAGACATAATGATTCTCAGAAACAACTTTGTGATGTGTGCGTTCAACTCACGGAGTTTAACCTTTCTTTTGATAGACCAGTTATGAAACACTCTTTTTGTAGAATCTGCAAGTAAATATTTGGACTTTTTTGAGGCCTTCATTGGAAACGGGATCTCTTCATATAAACCTTGACAGAAGAATTCCCAGAAACTTCTCTGTGATGTGTGCATTTAACTCTCAGAGTTCAACCTTCCTTTTGATAGAAGAGGGTTGAAATATTCTTTTTGTAGAATTTCCACGTGAATATTTAGAGCGGTTTCAGGCCTATGTAGAAGATAAAATATCTTCACAGAAAAACTAGACATAATGATTCTCAGAAACTACTTTGTGATGTGTGGGTTCACCTCACTGAGTTTAACCTTTCTTTTGATAGACCAGTTATGAAACACTCTTTTTGTAGAATCTGCAAGTAAATATTTGGACTTTTTTGAGGCCTTCATTGGAAACGGGATTTCTCCATAGAAACCTTGACAGAAGAATTCTCAGAAACTACTTTGTGATGTGTACTTTCAACTGACAGTGTTGAAGCTTCCTTTCAATAGAGCACTTTTGAAACTCAGTTTCTGTAGAATTTCCAGGTGGATATTTAGCGCCGTTTGAGGCCTATGGTGGAAAAGGCAATATCTTCGTTGAAAAACTAGACAGAATGATTCTCAGAAACAACTTTGTGATGTGTGCGTTCAACTCACGGAGTTTAACCTTTCTTTTCATAGACCAGTTATGAAACACTCTTTTTGTAGAATCTGCAAGTAAATATTTGGACTTTTTTGAGGCCTTCATTGGAAACGGGATCTCTTCATATAAACCTTGACAGAAGAATTCTCAGAAACTTCTTTGTGATGTGTACCTTCAACTCACAGAGTTGAAACTTCCTTTCAATAGAGCACCTTAGAAACTCAGTTTTTGTAGAATTTCCAGGTGGATATTTAGCGCCGTTTGAGGCCTATGGTAGAAAAGGCAATATCTTCGTAGGAGGACTAGACAGAATGATTCTCAGAAACAACTTTGTGATGTGTGCGTTCAACACTCGGAGTTTAACCTTTCTTTTGATAGACTAGTTATGAAACACTCTTTTTGTAGAATCTGCAAGTAAATATTTGGACTTTTTTGAGGCCTTCATTGGAAACGGGATCTCTTCATATAAACCTTGACAGAAGAATTCTCAGAAACTACTTTGTGATGTGTACTTTCAACTCACAGAGTTGAAGCTTCCTTTCAATAGAGCACCTTTGAAACTCAGTTTCTGTAGAATTTCCAGGTGGATATTTAGCGCCGTTTGAGGCCTATGGTTGAAAAGGCAATATCTTCGTAGAAAAACTAGACAGAATGATTCTCAGAAACAACTTTGTGATGTGTGCGTTCAACTCACGGAGTTTAACCTTTCTTTTGATAGACCAGGTATGAAACACTCTTTTTGTAGGATCTGCAAGTAAATATTTGGACTTTTTTGAGGCCTTCATTGGAAACGGGATTTCTTCATATAAACCTTGACAGAAGAATTCTCAGAAACTTCTTTGTGATGTGTGCATTTAACTCTCAGAGTTCAACCTTCCTTTTGATAGAAGAGTGTTGAAATATTCTTTTTGTAGAATTTCCAAGTGAATATTTAGAGCGGTTTCAGGCCTATGTAGAAGAGAAAATGTCTTCACAGGAAAACTAGACACAATGATTCTCAGAAACTACTTTGTGATGTGTGGGTTCAACTCACTGAGTTTAACCTTTCTTTTGATAGACCAGTTATGAAACACTCTTTTTGTAGAATCTGCAAGTAAATATTTGGACTTTTTTGAGGCCTTCATTGGAAACGGGATTTCTTCATATAAACCTTGACAGAAGAATTCTCAGAAACTTCTTTGTGATGTGTGCATTTAACTCTCAGAGTTCAACCTTCCTTTTGATAGAAGAGTGTTGAAATATTCTTTTTGTAGAATTTCCAAGTGAATATTTAGAGCGGTTTCAGGCCTATGTAGAAGAGAAAATGTCTTCACAGGAAAACTAGACACAAGAATTCTCAGAAACTTCTTTGTGATGTGTACCTTCAACTCACAGAGTTGAAGCTTCCTTTCAATAGAGCACTTTTGAAACTCAGTTTTTGTAGAATTTCCAGGTGGATATTTAGCGCCGTTTGAGGCCTATGGTAGAAAAGGCAATATCTTCGTAGGAAAACTAGACAGAAGTATTGTCAGAAACTTATTTGTGATATTTGCATTCAACGCACGGAGTTGAACATTCCTCTTGATGGAGCCGTTTTGAAGCACTCTTTTTGTGGAATCTGCAAGTGGATATTTGGACCTCTTTGTGGCCTTCGTGGGAAACGTGATTTCTTCATTTACAACTAGACAGAAGAATTCTCAGAAACTTCTTTGTGATGTGTACTTTCAACTCACAGAGTTGAAGCTTCCTTTCAATAGAGCACTTTTGAAACTCAGTTTCTGTAGAATTTCCAGGTGGATATTTAGCGCCGTTTGAGGCCTATGGTGGAAAAGGCAATATCTTCGTAGAAAAACTAGACAGAATGATTCTCAGAAACAACTTTGTGATGTGTGCGTTCAACTCACGGAGTTTAACCTTTCTTTTGATAGACCAGTTATGAAACACTCTTTTTGTAGAATCTGCAAGTAAATATTTGGACTTTTTTGAGGCCTTCATTGGAAACGGGATCTCTTCATATAAACCTTGACAGAAGAATTCCCAGAAACTTCTCTGTGATGTGTGCATTTAACTCTCAGAGTTCAACCTTCCTTTTGATAGAAGAGGGTTGAAATATTCTTTTTGTAGAATTTCCACGTGAATATTTAGAGCGGTTTCAGGCCTATGTAGAAGATAAAATATCTTCACAGAAAAACTAGACATAAGTATTGTCAGAAACTTATTTGTGATATTTGCATTCAACGCACGGAGTTGAACATTCCTCTTGATGGAGCCGTTTTGAAGCACTCTTTATGTGGAATCTGCAAGTGGATATTTGGACCTCTTTGTGGCCTTCGTGTGAAACTTGCTTTCTTCATTTACAACTAGACAGAAGAATTCTCAGAAACTTCTTTGTGATGTGTACCTTCAACTCACAGAGTTGAAGCTTCCATTCAATAGAGCACCTTAGAAACTCAGTTTTTGTAGAATTTCCAGGTGGATATTTAGCGCCGTTTGAGGCCTATGGTAGAAAAGGCAATATCTTCATAGGAGGACTAGACAGAATGATTCTCAGAAACTACTTTGTGATGTGTGGGTTCAACTCACTGAGTTTAACCTTTCTTTTGATAGACCAGTTATGAAACACTCTTTTTGTAGAATCTGCAAGTAAATATTTGGACTTTTTTGAGGCCTTCATTGGAAACGGGATTTCTTCATATAAACCTTGACAGAAGAATTCTCATCAACTTCTTCGCGATGTGTGCTTTCAACTCGCAGAGTTGCATCTTCCTTTCGATAGAGCAGTTTTGTAACTCTCTTTTTGTAGAATTTCCAAGTGGATATTTAGCGCCGTTTGAGGCCTATGGTGGAAAAGGCAATATCTTCATAGAAAAACTAGACAGAATGATTCTCAGAAACAACTTTGTGATGTGTGCGTTCAACTCACGGAGTTTAACCTTTCTTTTGATAGACCAGTTATGAAACACTCTTTTTGTAGAATCTGCAAGTAAATATTTGGACTTTTTTGAGGCCTTCATTGGAAACGGGATTTCTTCATATAAACCTTGACAGAAGAATTCTCAGAAACTTCTTTGTGATGTGCACCTTCAACTCACAGAGTTGAAGCTTCCTTTCAATAGAGCACTTTTGAAACTCAGTTTTTGTACAATTTCCAGGTGGATATTTAGCGCCGTTTGAGGCCTATGGTAGAAAAGGCAATATCTTCGTAGGAAAACTAGACAGAATGATTCTCAGAAACAACTTTGTGATGTGTGCGTTCAACTCACGGAGTTTAACCTTTCTTTTGATAGACCAGTTATGAAACACTCTTTTTGTAGAATCTGCAAGTAAATATTTGGACTTTTTTGAGGCCTTCATTGGAAACGGGATCTCTTCATATAAACCTTGACAGA
>NC_000003.12:91247722-91249905 GCF_000001405.40 Homo sapiens
TGCCTTTTCCACCATAGGCCTCAAACGGCGCTAAATATCCCCTTGGAAATTCTACAAAAAGAGAGTTACAAGACTGCTCTGTCGAAAGGAAGCTTCAACTCAGCGAGTTGAAAGCACACATCAAGAAGAAGTTTATGAGAATTCTTCTGTCTAGTTTTGTATGAAGAAGTCACGTTTCAAACGAAGGCCACAAAGAGGTCCAAATGTCCACTTGGAGATTCAACAAAAAGAGTTTTTCAAAACTGCTCCATCAAGAGGAATATTCAACTCTGAGAGTTGAAGGCAGGTATCACAAAGTAGTTTCCGACAATGCTTCTGTCTAGATTTTATGTGAAGACATTCCCTTTCGTACCACAGGCCTGAAAGCACTCTAAATATAGAATTGCAAATTCCACAAAAAGAGTGTTTAAATCCGATCTATCCAAAGAAAGCTTAAACTCTGTCAGCTGAATGCGCACATCACAGAGTGGCTTCAGAGAACAATTATGTCTAGTTTTTCTGTGAAGATATTTTCTCTTCTACATAGGCCTGAAACCGCTCCAAATATTCACTTGGAAATTCTTCAAAAGGAATATTTCAACCCTCTTCTATCAAAAGGAAGGATGCACTCTGAGAGTTAAACGCACACATCACAGAGAAGTGTCTGAGAATTCTTCTGTCAAGGTTTATATGAAGAAACCCCGTTTCCAATGAAGGCCTCAAAAAAGTCAAAATATTTACTTGCAGATCCTACAAAAAGAGTGTTTCATAACTGGTCTATCAAAAGAAAGGTTAAACTCAGTGAGTTGAACCCACACATCACAAAGTAGCTTCTGAGAAACATTCTGTCTAGTCCTCCTACGAAGATATTGCCTTTTCTACCATAGGCCTCAAACGGCGCTAAATATCCACCTGGAAATTCTTCAAAAACTGAGTTTAAAAAGTGCTCTGTTGAAAGGAAGCTTCAACTCTGTGAGTTGAAGGTACACATCACAAAGAAGTTTCTGAGAATTCTTCTGTCTAGTTGTAAATGAAGAAATCACGTTTCAAACGAAGGCCACAAAGAGGTCCAAATATCCACTTGCAGATTCTACAAAAGGAGTGTTTCAAAACTGCTCCATCAAGAGGAATGTTCAACTCGGTGCGTTGAATGCAAATATCACAAATAAGTTTCTGACAATACTTCTGTCTAGTTTTTATGTGAAGATATTTCCTTGCCTACTGTAGGCCTCAAAACGCTCTAAATATACACTTGCAAATTCTCCAAAAACAGTGTTTCCAAACTGCTCTATCAAAGGAAGTTTAAACTCTGTAAGCTTAATGCAAGCATCACAAAACAGCTTCGGAGAATGAATCTGCCTAGTTTTTCTGTGAAGATATTTCTTTTTCTGCCATAGACCTCAAACCGCTGTAAAAATCCACTTGGAAATTCTACAAAAAGAGTATTTCAAAACTCTTCTATCAAAAGGAAGTTTCAACTCCATGAGTTAAATGCACATATCACAAATAATTTTCTGAGGATTCTTCTTCCAAGTTTTATATGAAGAAATCCCGTATCCAAAGATGGCCTCAGAAAAGTCCCAATATACACTTGCAGATTCTACAAAAAGAGTTTTTCAAAACTGCTCTATCAAAAGAAAGGTTGAACTCTGTGAGTTGAAGGCACACATCACAAAGTAGTTTCTGAGAATCATTCTGTCTAGTTTTTCTATGAAGATATTGCCTTTTCCACCATAGGCCTCAAACGGCGCTAAATATCCCCTTGGAAATTCTACAAAAAGAGAGTTACAAGACTGCTCTGTCGAAAGGAAGCTTCAACTCAGCGAGTTGAAAGCACACATCACGAAGAAGTTTATGAGAATTCTTCTGTCTAGTTTTGTATGAAGAAGTCACGTTTCAAACGAAGGCCACAAAGAGGTCCAAAGGTCCACTTGGAGATTCATCAAAAAGAGTTTTTCAAAACTGCTCCATCAAGAGGAATATTCAACTCTGAGAGTTGAAGGCAGGTATCACAAAGTAGTTTCCGAAAATGCTTCGGTCTACATTTTATGTGAAGACATTCCCTTTTGTACGACAGGCCTGAAAGCACTATAAATATAGAATTGCAAATTCCCCAAAAAGAGTGTTTAAAACCGCTCTATGCAAAGAAAGCTTAAACTCTGTCAGCTGAATGCGCACTTCACAAAGTGGCTCAGAGAACAATT
>NC_000003.12:91256421-91257890 GCF_000001405.40 Homo sapiens
ATACTTCTGTCTAGTTTTTATGTGAAGATATTTCCTTTCCTACTGTGGGCCTCAAACCGCTCTAAATATACACTTGCAAATTCCACAAGAAGAGTGTTTCAAAACTGCTCTATCAAAGGAACTTTAAACTCTGTAAGCTTAATGCAAGCATCACAAAACAGCTTCGGAGAATGAATCTGCCTAGTTTTTCTGTGAAGATATTTCTTTTTCTGCCATAGACCTCACACCGCTGTAAAAATCCACTTGGAAATTCTACAAAAAGAGTATTTCAAAACTCTTCTATCGAAAGGAAGTTTCAACTCCATGAGTTAAATGCACATATCACAAATAATTTTCTGAGGATTCTTCTTTCAAGTTTTATATGAAGAAATCCCGTTTCCAAAGATGGCCTCAGAAAAGTCCCAATAAACACTTGCAGATTCTACAAAAAGAGTTTTCCAAAACTGCTCTATCAAAAGAAAGGTTAAACTCTGTGAGTTGAAGGCACACATCACAAAGTAGTTTCTGAGAATCATTCTGTCTAGTTTTTCTATGAAGATATTGCCTTTTCCACCATAGGCCTCAAACGGCGCTAAAGATCCACTTGGAAATTCTACAAAAAGAGAGTTACAAGACTGCTCTATCAAAAGAAGGCTTCAACTCTGCGAGTTGCAAGCACACATCCCAAAGTAGTTTATGAGAATTCTTCTGTCTAGTTTTGTATGAAGAAGTCACGTTTGAAACGAAGACCACAAAGAGGCCCAAATATCCACTTGGAGATTCAACAAAAAGAGTTTTTCAAAACTGCTCCATCACGAGGAATATTCAACTCGGAGAGTTGAAGGCAGGTATCACAAAGTAGTTTCCGACAATGCTTCTGTCTAGATTTTATGTGAAGACATTCCCTTTTGTACCACAGGCCTGAAAGCACTCTAAATATAGAATTGCAAATTCCACAAAAAGAGTGTTTAAAACCGCTCGATCCAAAGAAAGGTTAATCTCTGTAAGCTGAATGCACAAATCACAAAGTAGCTTCAGAGAACAAATGTGTCTAGTTTTTCTGTGAAGACATTTTCTCTTCTACATAGGCCTGAAACCGCTCTAAATATTCACTTGGAAATTCTACAAGAAGAATATTTCAACACTCTTCTATCAAAAGGAAGGTTGAACTCTGAGAGTTAAATGCACACATCACAAAGAAGTTTCTGAGAATTCTTCTGCCAAGGTTTATATGAAGAAATCCCGTTTCCAATGAAGGCCTCAAGAAAGTCCAAATATTTACTTGCAGATTCTACAAAAAGAGTGTTTCATAACTGGTCTATCAAAAGAAAGGTTAAACTCAGTGAGTTGAACCCACACAACACAAAGTAGTGTCTGAGAATCATTCTGTCTAGTTTTCCTACAAATATATGGCCTTTTCTACCATAGGCCTCAAACGGCGCTAAATATCCACCTGGAAATTCTACAGAAACTGATTTTCAAAAGTGCTC
>NC_000003.12:91260180-91265381 GCF_000001405.40 Homo sapiens
AACGGCGCTAAATATCCACCTGGAAATTCTACAAAAACTGAGTTTCAAAGTGCTCTATTGAAAGGAAGCTTCAACTCTGTGAGTTGAAGGTACACATCACAAAGAAGTTTCTGAGAATTCTTCTGTCTAGTTGTAAATGAAGAAATCACGTTTCAAACGAAGGCCACAAAGAGGTCCAAATATCCACTTGCAGATTCTACAAAAAGAGTGTTTCAAAACGGCTCCATCAAGAGGAATGTTCAACTCTGGGCGTTGAATGCAAATATCACAAATAAGTTTCTGACAATACTTCTGTCTAGTTTTTATGTGAAGATATTTCCTTTCCTACTGTAGGCCTCAAAACGCTCTAAATAAACACTTGCAAACACCACAAAAAGAGTGTTTCCAAACTGCTCTATCAAAGGAAGTTTAATCTCTGTCAGCTGAATGCAAGCATCACAAAACAGCTTCGGAGAATGAATCTGCCTAGTTTTTCGGTGAAGATATTTCTTGTTCTGCAATAGACCTCACACCGCTGTAAAAATCCACTTGGAAATTCTACAAAAAGAGTATTTCAAAACTCTTCTATCGAAAGGAAGTTTCAACTCCATGAGTTAAATGCACATATCACAAATAATTTTCTGAGGATTCTTCCTTCAAGTTTTATATGAAGAAATCCCGTTTCCAAAGATGGCCTCAGAAAAGTCCCAATATACACTTGCAGATTCTACAAAAAGAGTTTTTCAAAACTGCTCTATCAAACAAAGGTTAAACTCTGTGAGTTGAAGGCACACATCACAAATTAGTTTCTGAGAATCATTCTGTCTAGTTTTTCTATGAAGATATTGCCTTTTCCACCATAGGCCTCAAGCGGCGCTAAATATCCACTTGGAAATTCTACAAAAAGAGTCTTACAAGAATGCTCTATCGAAAGGAAGCTTCAACACTGTGAGTTGCAAGCACACATCCCAAAGAAGTTTATGAGAATTCTTCTGTCTAGTTTTCTATGAAGAAGTCACGTTTCAAACGAAGGCCACAGAGAGGTCCAAATATCCACTTGGAGATTCAACAAAAAGAGTTTTTCAAAACTGCTCCATCAAGAAGAATATTCAACTCTGAGAGTTGAAGGCAGGTATCACAAAGTAGTTTCCGACAATGCTTCTGTGTAGATTTTATGTGAAGACATTCCCTTTAGTACCACAGGCCTGAAAGCACTCTAAATATAGAATTGCAAATTCCACAAAAAGAGTGTTTAAAACCGCTCGATCCAAAGAAAGGTTAAACTCTGTAAGCTGAATGCGCACATCACAAAGTAGCTTCAGAGAACAATTGTGTCTAGTTTTTCTGTGAAGATATTTTCTCTTCTACATAGGCCTGAAACCGCTCTAAATATACTCTTGGAAATTCTACAAAAAGAATATTTCAACACTCTTCTATCAAAAGGAAGGTTGAAATCTGAGAGTTAAATGCACACATCACAAAGAAGTTTCTGAGAATTCTTCTGTTAAGGGCTTATATGAAGAAATCCCGTTTCCAATGAAGGCCTCAAGAAAGTCCAAATATTTACTTGCAGATTCTACAAAAAGAGTGTTTCATAACTGGTCTATCAAAAGAAAGGTTAAACTCAGTGAGTTGAACCCACACATCACAAAGTAGTGTCTGAGAATCATTCTGTCTAGTTTTCCTACGAAGATATGGCCTTTTCTACCATAGGCCTCAAACGGCGCTAAATATCCACCTGGAAATTCTACCAAAACTGAGTTTCAAAGTGCTCTATTGAAAGGAAGCTTCAACTCTGTGAGTTGAAGGTACACATCACAAAGAAGTTTCTGAAAATTCTTCTGTCTAGTTGTAAATGAAGAAATCACGTTTCAAACGAAGGCCACAAAGAGGTCCAAATATCCACTTGCAGATTCTACAAAAAGAGTGTTTCAAAACGGCTCCATCAAGAGGAATGTTCAACTCTGTGCGTTGAATGCAAATATCACAAATAAGTTTCTGACAATAATTCTGTCTAGTTTTTATGTGAAGATATTTCCTTTCCTACTGTAGGCCTGAAAACGCTCTAAATATACACTTGCAAAATCCACAAAAAGAGTGTTTCAAAACTGCTCTATCAAAGGAATTTTAAACTCTGTAATCTTAATGCAAGCATCACAAAACTGCTTCGGAGAATGAATCTGCCTAGTTTTTCGGTGAAGATATTTCTTGTTCTGCAATAGACCTCACACCGCTGTAAAAATCCACTTGGAAATTCTACAAAAAGAGTATTTCAAAACTCTTCTATCGAAAGGAAGTTTCAACTCCATGAGTTAAATGCACATATCACAAATAATTTTCTGAGGATTCTTCCTTCAAGTTTTATATGAAGAAATCCCGTTTCCAAAGATGGCCTCAGAAAAGTCCCAATATACACTTGCAGATTCTACAAAAAGAGTTTTTCAAAACTGCTCTATCAAAACAAAGGTTAAACTCTGTGAGTTGAAGGCACACATCACAAATTAGTTTCTGAGAATCATTCTGTCTAGTTTTTCTATGAAGATATTGCCTTTTCCACCATAGGCCTCAAACGGCGCTAAATATCCACTTGGAAATTCTACAAAAAGAGAGTTACAAGACTGCTCTATCGAAAGGAATCTTCAACTCTGCGAGTTGCAGGCACACATCCCAAAGAAGTTTATGAGAATTCTTCTGTCTAGTTTTGTTTGAAGAAGTCACTTTTCAAACGAAGGCCACAAAGAGGTCCAAATATCCACTTGTAGATTCAACAAAAAGACTTTTTCAAAACTGCTCCATCAAGAGGAATATTCAACTCTGAGAGTTGAAGGCAGGTATCACAAAGTAGTTTCCGACAATGCTTCTGTCTAGATTTTATGTGAAGACATTCCCTTTTGTACCACAGGCCTGAAATCACTCTAAATATAGAATTGCAAAATACACAAACAGAGTGTTTAAAACCGCTCGATCCAAAGAAAGGTTAAACCCTGTAAGGTGAATGCGCACATCACAAAGTAGCTTCAGAGAACAATTGTGTCTAGTTTTTCTGTGAAGATATTTTCTCTTCTACATAGGCCTGAAACTGCTCTAAATATTCACCTGGAAATTCTATAAAAAGAATATTTCAACACTCTTCTATCAAAAGGAAGGTTGAACTCTGAGAGTTAAATGCACACATCACAAAGAAGTTTCTGAGAATCCCTCTGTCAAGGTTTCTATGAAGGAATCCCGTTTCCAATGAAGGCCTCAAGAAAGTCCAAATATTTACTTGCAGATTCTACAAAAAGAGTGTTTCATAACTGGTCTATCCAAAGAAAGGTTAACCTCAGTGAGTTGAATGCACACATCACAAAGTAGTTTCTGAGAATCATTCTGTCTAGTTTTCCTACGAAGATATGGCCTTTTCTACCATAGGCCTCAAACGGCGCTAAATATCCACCTGGAAATTCTACAAAAACTGAGTTTCAAAGTGCTCTATTGAAAGGAAGCTTCAACTCTGTGAGTTGAAGGTACACATCACAAAGAAGTTTCTGAGAATTCTTCAGTATAGTTGTAAATGAAGAAATCACGTTTCAAACGAAGGCCACAAAGAGGTCCAAATATACACTTGCAGATTCTACAAAAAGAGTGTTTCAAAAGTGCTCCATCAAGAGGAATGTTCAACTCTGTGCGTTGAATGCAAATATCACAAATAAGTTTCTGACAATACTTCTGTCTAGTTTTTATGTGAAGATATTTCCTTTCCTACTGTAGGCCTCAAAACGCTCTAAATATACACTTGCAAATTCCACAAAAAGAGTGTTTCAAAACTGCTCTATCAAAGGAACTTTAAACTCTGTAAGCCTAATGCAAGCATCACAAAACAGCTTCGGAGAATGAATCTGCCTAGTTTTTCTGTGAAGATATTTCTTTTTCTGCCATAGACCTCACACCGCTGTAAAAATCCACTTGGAAATTCTACAAAAAGAGTATTTCAAAACTCTTCTATCGAAAGGAAGTTTCAACTCCATGAGTTAAATGCACATATCACAAATAATTTTCTGAGGATTCTTCTTTCAAGTTTTATATGAAGAAATCCAGTTTCCAAAGATGGCCTCAGAAAAGTCCCAATATACACTTGCAGATTCTACAAAAAGAGATTTTCAAAACTGCTCTATCAAAAGAAAGTTTAAACTTTGTGAGTTGAAGGCACACATCACAAAGTAGTTTATGAGAATTCTTCTGTCTAGTTTTCTATGAAGAAGTCACGTTTCAAACGAAGGCCACAAAGAGGTCCAAATATCCACTTGGAGATTCAACAAAAAGAGTTTTTCAAAAATGGTCCATCAAGAGGAATATTCAACTCTGAGAGTTGAAGGCAGGTATCCCAAAGTAGTTCCCGACAATGCTTCTGTATAGATTTTATGTGAAGACATTCCCTTTAGTACCACAGGCCTGAAAGCACTCTAAATATAGAATTGCAAATTCCACAAAAAGAGTGTTTAAAACCGCTCGATCCAAAGAAAGGTTAAACTCTGTAAGCTGAATGCGCACATCACAAAGTAGCTTCAGAGAACAATTGTGTCTAGTTTTTCTGTGAAGATATTTTCTCTTCTACATAGGCCTGAAACCGCTCTAAATATACTCTTGGAAATTCTACAAAAAGAATATTTCAACACTCTTCTATCAAAAGGAAGGTTGAACTCTGAGAGTAAAATGCACACATCACAAAGAAGTTTCTGAGAATTCTTCTGTCAAGGTTTCTATGAAGAAATCCCGTTTCCAATGAAGGCCTCAAAAAAGTCCAAATATTTACTTGCAAATTCTACAAAAAGAGTGTTTCATAACTGGTCTAGTAAAAGAAAGGTTAAACTCAGTGAGTTGAACCCACACATCACAAAGTAGTTTCTGAGAATCATTCTGTCTAGTTCTCCTACGAAGATATAGCCTTTTCTACCATAGGCCTAAAACGGCGCTAAATATCCACCTGGAAATTCTACAAAAACTGAGTTTCAAAAGTGCTCTATTGAAAGGAAGCTTCACCACTGTGAGTTGAAGGTACACATCACAAAGAAGTTTCTGAGAATACTTCTGTCTACTTGTAAATGAAGAAATCACGTTTCAAACGAAGGCCACAAAGAGGTCCAAATATCCACTTGCAGATTCTACAAAAAGAGTGTTTCAAACTGCTCCCCAAGAGGATGTTCAACTCTGTGCGTTGAATGCAAATATCACAAATAAGTTTC
>NC_000003.12:91276994-91282175 GCF_000001405.40 Homo sapiens
ATAGGCCTGAACCCGCTCTAAATATTCACTGGAAATTCTACAAAAAGAATATTTCAACACTCTTCTATCAAAAGAAAGGTTGAACTCTGAGAGTTAAATGCACACATCACAAAGAAGTTTCTGAGAATTCTTCTGTCAAGGTTTATATGAAGAAATCCCGTTTCCAATGAAGGCCTCAAAAAAGTCCAAATATTTACTTGCAGATTCTACACAAAGAATGTTTCATAACTGGTCTATCAAAAGAAAGGTTAAACTCAGTGAGTTGAACCCACACATCACAAAGTAGTTTCTGAGAATCATTCTGTCTAGTTTTCCTATGAAGATATTGCCTTTTCTACCATAGGCCTCAAACAGCGCTAAATATCCACCTGGAAATTCTACAAAAACTGAGTTTCAAAATTGCTCTATTGAAAGGAAGCTTCAAGTCTGTGAGTTGAATGTACACATCACAAAGTAGTTTCTGAGAATTCTTCTGTCTAGTTTTAAATGAATAAATCACGTTTCAAACGAAGGCCACAAAGAGGTCCAAATATTCACTTGTAGATTCTACAAAAAGAGTGTTTCAAAACTGCTCCATCACGAGGAATGTTCAACTCTGTGCGTTGAATGCAAATATCACAAATAAGTTTCTGACAATACTTCTGTCTATTTTTTATGTGAAGATATTTCCTTTCCTACTGTAGGCCTCAAAACGCTCTAAATATACACTTGCAAATTCCACAAAAGGGTGTTTCAAAACTGCTCTATCAAAGGAAGCTTAAACTCTGTAAGCTTAATGCAAGCATCACAAAACAGCTTCGGAGAATGAATCTGCCTAGTTTTTCTGTGAAGATATTTCTTTTTCTGCCATAGACCTCACACCGCTGTAAAAATCCACATGGAAATACTACAAAAAGAGTATTTCAAAACTCTTCTATCGAAAGGAAGTTTCAACTCCATGAGTTAAATGCACATATCACAAATAATTTTCTGAGGATTCTTCTTTCAAGTTTTATATGAAGAAATCCCGTTTCCAAAGATGGCCTCAGAAAAGTCCCAATATACACTTGCAGATTCTACAAAAAGAGTTTTTCAAAACTGCTCTATCAAAAGAAAGGTTAAACTCAGTGAGTTGAAGGCACACATCACAAAGTAGTTTCTGAGAATCATTCTGTCTAGTTTTTCTATGAAGATATTGCCTTTTCCACCATAGGCCCCAAACGGCACTAAATATCCACTTGGAAATTCTTCAAAAAGAGAGTTACAAGACTGCTCTATCGAAAGGAAGCTTCAACTCTGCGAGTTGAAAGCACACATCACAAAGAAGTTTATGGGAATTCTTCTGTCTAGTTTTGTATGAAGAAGTCACGTTTCAAACGAAGGCCACAAAGAGGTCCAAATATCCACTTGGAGATTCAACAAAAAGAGTTTTTCAAAACTGCTCCATCAAGAGGAATATTCAACTCTGAGAGTTGAAGGCAGGTATCCCAAAGTAGTTCCCGACAATGCTTCTGTCTAGATTTTATGTGAAGACATTCCCTTTTGTACCACAGGCCTGAAAGCACTCTAAATATAGAATTGCAAATTCCACAAAAAGAGTGTTTAAAACCGCTCTATCCAAAGAAAGGTTAAACTCTGTAAGCTGAATGCGCACATCACAAAGTAGCTTCAGAGAACAATTGTGTCTAGTTTTTCTGTGAAGATATTTTCTCTTCTACATAGGCCTGAAACCGCTCTAAATATTCACTTGGAAATTCTACAAAAAGAATATTTCAACACTCTTCTATCAAAAGGAAGGTTGAACTCTGAGAGTTAAATGCACACATCACAAAGAAGTTTCTGAGAATTCTTCTGTCAAGGTTTCTATGAAGAAATCCCGTTTCCAATGAAGGCCTCAAAAAAGTCCAAATATTTACTTGCAGATTCTACACAAAGAGTGTTTCATAACTGGTCTATCAAAAGAAAGGTTAAACTCAGTGAGTTGAACCCACACATCACAAAGTAGTTTCTGAGAATCATTCTGTCTAGTTTTCCTATGAAGATATTGCCTTTTCTACCATAGGCCTCAAACAGCGCTAAATATCCACCTGGAAATTCTACAAAAACTGAGTTTCAAAAGTGCTCTATTGAAAGGAAGCTTCAACTCTGTGAGTTGAAGGTACACATCACAAAGAAGTTTCTGAGAATTCTTCTGTCTAGTTGTAAATGAAAAAATCACGTTTCAAACGAAGGCCACAAAGAGGTCCAAATATTCACTTGCAGATTCTACAAAAAGAGTGTTTCAAAACTGCTCCATCACGAGGAATGTTCAACTCTGTGCGTTGAATGCAAATATCACAAATAAGTTTCTGACAATACTTCTGTCTAGTTTTTATGTGAAGATATTTCCTTTCCTACTGTAGGCCTCAAAACGCTCTAAATATACACTTGCAAATTCCACAAAAAGAGTGTCTCAAAACTGCTCTATCAAAGGAAGCTTAAACTCTGTAAGCTTAATGCAAGCATCGCAAAACAGCTTCGGAGAATGAATCTGCCTAGTTTTTCTGTGAAGATATTTCTTTTTCTGCCATAGACCTCACACCGCTGTAAAAATCCACTTGGAAATTCTACAAAAAGAGTATTTCAAAACTCTTCTATCGAAAGGAAGTTTCAACTCCATGAGTTAAATGCACATATCACAAATAATTTTCTGAGGATTCTTCTTTCAAGTTTTATAGGAAGAAATCCCGTTTCCAAAGATGGCCTCAGAAAAGTCCCAATATACACTTGCAGATTCTACAAAAAGAGTTTTTCAAAACTGCTCTATCAAAAGAAAGGTTAAACTCTGTGAGTTGAAGGCACACATCACAAAGTAGTTTCTGAGAATCATTCTGTCTAGTTTTTCTATGAAGATATTGCCTTTTCCACCATAGGGCCTCAAACGGCGCTAAATATCCACTTGGAAATTCTACAAACAGAGAGTTACAAGACTGCTCTATCGAAAGGAAGCTTCAACTCTGCGAGTTGCAAGCACACATCCCAAAGAAGTTTATGAGATTCTTCTGTCTAGTTTTGTATGAAGAAGTCACGTTTCAAACGAAGGCCACAAAGAGGTCCAAATATCCACTTGGAGATTCAACAAAAAGAGTTTTTCAAAACTGCTCCATCAAGAGGAATATTCAACTCTGAGAGTTGAAGGCAGGTATCACACAGTAGTTTCCGACAATACTTCTGTCTAGATTTTATGTGAAGACATTCCCTTTTGTACCACAGGCCTGAAAGCACTCTAAATATAGAATTGCAAATTCCACAAAAAGAGTGTTTAAAACCGCTGGATCCAAAGAAAGGTTAAACTCTGTAAGCTGAATGCGCACATCACAAAGTAGCTTCAGAGAACAATTGTGTCTAGTTTTTCTGTGAAGATATTTTCTCTTCTACATAGGCCTGAAACCGCTCTAAATATTCACTTGGAAATTCTACAAAACGAATATTTCAACACTCTTCTATCAAAAGGAAGGTTGAACTCTGAGAGTTAAATGCACACATCACAAAGAAGTTTCTGAGAATTCTTCTGTCAAGGTTTCTATGAAGAAATCCCGTTTCCAATGAAGGCCTCAAAAAAGTCCAAATATTTACTTGCAGATTCTACAAAAAGAGTGTTTCATAACTGGTCTATCAACAGAAAAGGTTAAACTCAGTGAGTTGAACCCACACATCACAAAAGTAGTTTCTGAGAATCATTCTGTCTAGTTTTCCTACGAAGATATTTGCCTTTTCTACCCATAGGCCTCAAACGGCGCTAAATATCCACCCTGGGAAATTCTACAAAAACTGAGTTTCAAAAGTGCTCTATTGAAAGGAAGCTTCAACTCTGTGAGTTGAAGGTAAATATCACAAAGAAGTTTCTGAGAATTCTTCTGTCTAGTTTCTATGAAGAAATCCCGTTTCCAATGAAGGCCTCAAAGAGGTCCAAATATTCACTTGCAGATTCTACAAAAAGAGTGTTTCAAAACTGCTCCATCAAGAGGAATGTTCAACTCTGTGCGTTGCATGCAAATATCACAAATAAGTTTCTGAAAATACTTCTGTCTAGTTTTTATGTGAAGATATTTCCTTTCCTACTGTAGGCCTCAAAACGCTCTAAATATACAGTTGCAAATTCCACAAAAAGAGTGTTTCAAAACTGCTCTATCAAAGAAAGTTTAAACTCTGTAAGCCTAAGGCAAGCATCACAAAACAGCTTCGGAGAATGAATCTGCCTAGTTTTTCTGTGAAGATATTTCTTTTTCTGCCATAGACCTCACACCGCTGTAAAAATCCACTTGGAAATTCTACAAAAAGAGTATTTCAAAACTCTTCTATCGAAAGGAAGTTTCAACTCCATGAGTTAAATGCACATATCACAAATAATTTTCTGAGGATTCTTCTTTCAAGTTTTATAGGAAGAAATCCCGTTTCCAAAGATGGCCTCAGAAAAGTCCCAATATACACTTGCAGTTCTACAAAAAGAGTTTTTCAAAACTGCTCTATCAAAAGAAAGGTTAAACTCTGTGAGTTGAAGGCACACATCACAAAGTAGTTTCTGAGAATCATTCTGTCTAGTTTTTCTATGAAGATATTGCCTTTTCCACCATAGGCCTCAAACGGCGCTAAATATCCACTTGGAAATTCTACAAAAAGAGAGTTACAAGACTGCTCTATCGAAAGGAAGCTTCAACTCTGCGAGTTGAAAGCACACATCACAAAGAAGTTTATGAGAATTCTTCTGTCTAGTTTTGTATGAAGAAGTCACGTTTCAAACGAAGGCCACAAAGAGGTCCAAATATCCACTTGGAGATTCAACAAAAAGAGTTTTTCAAAACTGCTCCATCAAGAGGAATATTCAACTCTGAGAGTTGAAGGCAGGTATCACAAAGTAGTTTCCGACAATGCTTCTGTCTAGATTTTATGTGAAGACATTCCCTTTTGTACCACAGGCCTGAAAGCACTCTAAATATAGAATTGCAAATTCCACAAAAAGAGTGTTTAAAACCGCTCGATCCAAAGAAAGGTTAAACTCTGTAAGCTGAATGCGCACATCACAAAGAAGCTTCAGAGAACAATTGTGTCTAGTTTTTCTGTGAAGATATTTTCTCTTCTACATAGGCCTGAAACCGCTCTAAATATTCACTTGGGAATTCTACAAAAAGAATATTTCAACACTCTTCTATCAAAAGGAAGGTT
>NC_000003.12:91282734-91291069 GCF_000001405.40 Homo sapiens
ATCCCGTTTCCAAGATGGCCTCAGAAAAGTCCCAATATACACTTGCAGATTCTACAAAAAGAGTTTTTCAAAACTGCTCTATCAAAAGAAAGGTTAAACTCTGTGAGTTGAAGGCACACATCACAAAGTAGTTTCTGAGAATCATTCTGTCTAGTTTTTCTATGAAGATATTGCCTTTTCCACCATAGGCCTCAAACGGCGCTAAATATCCACTTGGAAATTCTACAAACAGAGAGTTACAAGACTGCTCTATCGAAAGGAAGCTTCAACTCTGCGAGTTGCAAGCACACATCCCAAAGAAGTTTATGAGAATTCTTCTGTCTAGTTTTGTATGAAGAAGTCACGTTTCAAACGAAGGCCACAAAGAGGTCCAAATATCCACTTGGAGATTCAACAAAAAGAGTTTTTCAAAACTGCTCCATCAAGAGGAATATTCAACTCTGAGAGTTGAAGGCAGGTATCACACAGTAGTTTCCGACAATACTTCTGTCTAGATTTTATGTGAAGACATTCCCTTTTGTACCACAGGCCTGAAAGCACTCTAAATATAGAATTGCAAATTCCACAAAAAGAGTGTTTAAAACCGCTCGATCCAAAGAAAGGTTAAACTCTGTAAGCTGAATGCGCACATCACAAAGTAGCTTCAGAGAACAATTGTGTCTAGTTTTTCTGTGAAGATATTTTCTCTTCTACATAGGCCTGAAACCGCTCTAAATATTCACTTGGAAATTCTACAAAACGAATATTTCAACACTCTTCTATCAAAAGGAAGGTTGAACTCTGAGAGTTAAATGCACACATCACAAAGAAGTTTCTGAGAATTCTTCTGTCAAGGTTTCTATGAAGAAATCCCGTTTCCAATGAAGGCCTCAAAAAAGTCCAAATATTTACTTGCAGATTCTACAAAAAGAGTGTTTCATAACTGGTCTATCAACAGAAAGGTTAAACTCAGTGAGTTGAACCCACACATCACAAAGTAGTTTCTGAGAATCATTCTGTCTAGTTTTCCTACGAAGATATTGCCTTTTCTACCATAGGCCTCAAACGGCGCTAAATATCCACCTGGAAATTCTACAAAAACTGAGTTTCAAAAGTGCTCTATTGAAAGGAAGCTTCAACTCTGTGAGTTGAAGGTGCACATCACAAAGAAGTTTCTGAGAATTCTTCTGTCAAGGTTTCTATGAAGAAATCCCGTTTCCAATGAAGGCCTCAAAAAAGTCCAAATATTTACTTGCAGATTCTACAAAAAGAGTGTTTCATAACTGGTCTATCAAAAGAAAGGTTAAACTCAGTGAGTTGAACCCACACATCACAAAGTAGTTTCTGAGAATCATTCTGTCTAGTTTTCCTACGAAGATATTGCCTTTTCTACCATAGGCCTCAAACGGCGCTAAATATCCACCTGGAAATTCTACAAAAACTGAGTTTCAAAAGTGCTCTATTGAAAGGAAGCTTCAACTCTGTGAGTTGAAGGTACACATCACAAAGAAGTTTCTGAGAATTCTTCTGTCTAGTTGTAAATGAAGAAATCACGTTTCAAAGGACGGCCACTAAGCGGTCCAAATATCCACTTGCAGATTCTACAAAAAGAGTGTTTCAAAACTACTCCATCAAGAGGAATGTTCAACTCTGTGCGTTCCATGCAAATATCACAAATAAGTTTCTGAAAATACTTCTGTCTAGTTTTTATGTGAAGATATTTCCTTTCCTACTGTAGGCCTCAAAACGCTCTAAATATACAGTTGCAAATTCCACAAAAAGAGTGTTTCAAAACTGCTCTATCAAAGGAAGTTTAAACTCTGTAAGCCTAATGCAAGCATCACAAAACAGCTTCGGAGAATGAATCTGCCTAGTTTTTCTGTGAAGATATTTCTTTTTCTGCCATAGACCTCACACCGCTGTAAAAATCCACTTGGAAATTCTACAAAAAGAGTATTTCAAAACTCTTCTATCGAAAGGAAGTTTCAACTCCATGAGTTAAATGCACATATCACAAATAATTTTCTGAGGATTCTTCTTTCAAGTTTTATAGGAAGAAATCCCGTTTCCAAAGATGGCCTCAGAAAAGTCCCAATATACACTTGCAGTTCTACAAAAAGAGTGTTTCATAACTGCTCTATCAAAAGAAAGGTTAAACTCTGTGAGTTGAACGCACACATCACAAAGTAGTTTCTGAGAATCATTCTGTCTAGTTTTTCTATGAAGATATTGCCTTTTCCACCATAGGCCTCAAACGGCGCTAAATATCCACTTGGAAATTCTACAAAAAGAGAGTTACAAGAGTGCTCTATCGAAAGGAAGCTTCAACTCTGCGAGTTGAAAGCACACATCACAAAGAAGTTTATGAGAATTCTCCTTTCTAGTTTTGTATGAAGAAATCACGTTTCAAACGAAGGCCACAAAGAGGTCCAAATATCCACTTGGAGATTCAACAAAAAGAGTTTTTCAAAACTGCTCCATCAAGAAGAATATTCAACTCTGAGAGTTGAAGGCAGGTATCACAAAGTAGTTTCCGACAATGCTTCTGTCTAGATTTTATGTGAAGACATTCCCTTTTGTACCACAGGCCTGAAAGCACTCTAAATATAGAATTGCAAATTCCACAAAAAGAGTGTTTAAAACCGCTCGATCCAAAGAAAGGTTAAACTCTGTAAGCTGAATGCGCACATCACAAAGTAGCTTCAGAGAACAATTGTGTCTAGTTTTTCTGTGAAGATATTTTCTCTTCTACATAGGCCTGAAACCGCTCTAAATATTCACTTGGAAATTCTACAAATAGAATATTTCAACACTCTTCTACCAAAAGGAAGGTTGAACTCTGAGAGTTAAATGCACACATCACAAAGAAGTTCCTGAGAATTCTTCTGTCAAGGTTTCTATGAAGAAATCCCGTTTCCAATGAAGGCCTCAAGAAAGTCCAAATATTTACTTGCAGATTCTATAAAAAGAGTGTTTCATAACTGGTCTATCAACAGAAAGGTTAAACTCAGTGAGTTGAACCCACACATCACAAAGTAGTTTCGGAGAATCATTCTGTCTAGTTTTCCTACGAAGATATTGCCTTTTCTACCATAGGCCTCAAACGGCGCTAAATATCCACCTGGAAATTCTACAAAAACTGAGTTTCAAAAGTGCTCTATTGAAAGGAAGCTTCAACTGTGTGAGTTGAAAGTACACATCACAAAGAAGTTTCTGAGAATTCTTCTGTCTAGTTGTAAATGAAGAAATCACGTTTCAAACGAAGGCCACAAAGAGGTCCAAATATCCACTTGCAGATTCTACAAAAAGAGTGTTTCAAAACGGCTCCATCAAGAGGAATGTTCAACTCTGTGCTTTGAATGCAAATATCGCAAATAAGTTTCTGACAATACTTCTGTCTAGTTTTTATGTGAAGATATTTCCTTTCCTACTGTAGGCCTCAAAACGCTCTAAATATACACTTGCAAATTCCACAAAAAAGTGTTTCAAAAATGGACGCGAGTGAACGCTATCTGATTTGGATAAAGGAGACATTCTTGACATCTTCACAAGATCTCTAAAGAAATCTCCTCCTCCATCCACCCCACAACTTATGCCAAGATCATTATTTGTAGCTACTGAGGTTGCCAATATAAGTAGCTCCAAGCCCTGAAGTGTGAATTTAGTGAAGAGGAGAAGTAGGAAATACAGAATATGTAATTTCCAGGGAAGAGAGGATTTCGGTAACCTATTTAGTTTAATCCCTTTACAGATAGAACATAAAAAAGACCAAATCTTTGAATTCATTAACAAATGGTGGGCTCTGTTTCTTAAGGATTTGAATCTGCATGAAGAAGCAAAGCCATTTGTCTAGCTTATCGAAAAGTTTTTACAGGAGAAAGGAGAGGGATTAGAACTGGGGGTCTCTGTCAAGGAGAGGTCAGAAAGTACCAGGTGGCTTACTGCTCTCTCACCCCTTCAATTGACTCATTATAGCTGTTATCTCCCAGCAAATGTCAGTGTTTTATTTCCTCCATGTGACATTTTTCATGAGATACAACTTTTCTCTGCCTCACATAGCAATTGGCATGCCCTTGAATCCAGAGAACTAGAGCAAAACGGATTGAGTTTGGCTAGGCAGGTCCAATCTTTAACCTGCTAAGCTACATGGAGCCAAGGATTGGGTCTTAACGGATTGATGAACAGGCTGATAATTTAGATGTGAAGGACCAGAGAGGTCTGTCACATCCCATTCTTCAAGGAAGAGATGTAAGTCAAATGAGTCAAACCAGGGAGCCTACTTGTACAACCAGGTCTGAGAATGTCATACAGGCCTAACTATGGTATAGAGCTCAAGTTCTGAAACAGGAAAATAACTGAAGCAAAGCTGGTCAGAGATGAAAATATAAAGCATCTATGCAAATTTAATTGCAGAGTCCACTGCTTTTCTTTAATTTGGCAGCAGACAATTGCATCTGACTGGCTTGAAAGAGACACTGTTTTCTAAGTCCCCTAAACCCCCATCACAAAGGCCAGTAGAAATTGTCAAATCCATGTTCTATGCAAAGTTAAAGTTCAATTTATTACCTTAAATTCTATTTTCTTTTTCCATTAAGTGCATATCACCCAGGCTGCTGGTTGTGAACAACAGAAGCTGACATTGGCTGATTAATCAAAAAGAAAAAACATATGATAATCCATAGAAGTGTTGGAGAACAAGGCCCAAGCATGAGCTTGGATATAATGCAAAAAAAACAAGATACAGCTGACTTGTTAAAGAAACAAACACCACTTCCATGGCGCCCATCAAAGACTAGGGAACCCTGTAGCCATTGCCACCACTTCATCAGCAGGTAGGTGGTTCCACCTAGAGCCTGTTTGCTCATATTGCTCTCCTATGTATCAGAGTCTTTCATGGGCTTATGTGATAACAGAATCCTCAGACACATGCTCACATTTAGCTGCAAGAAAAGCTATAAACTTAAGTTTTGACTCTACAGCAGAAATGTGGGACTCAAAAATGGAAACTTCTCCAAATATAGAAAAACTATTCAAAAGGTAATGGGCAACTTTTGGCAGAGGTGCCAAAATAATTCAGTGGGGGAAAATACTCTTCAACAAATGGTATTGAATAACTGGATATCCACATGTAAAAGAATAAGGTTGAAGCCATTTCTTATACCACACACTAAAATTAACTCCAAATGGATCACAAACCAAATGTAAGAGCTAAAACTATAAATTCTTAGAAGAAAACATAGGAGTGCATCTATGTGATTTGGGGTTAAGTAAAGCCTTCTTAGATATGGGACCAAAAGCACAAGCAACCACCAACAAAACAAAACAAAAAGATAAATAGGACTTCATCAAAATTCAAAACTTTTATGCTTCAAATGAGACTATCAAAGAAGTGAAAGACCACACACAAAATGGGAAAAAATATTTGCAAATTTGTTTTGATTGCCTCCTGTTCAGCTCATTGGTGAAAGTAGGGATTCCCACCCCAGAGTAATGGGGATGGCCCAACTTCCGCCACCAGAAAGAGGAGATCGACAGCAGTTTGTTAGTCACATGCACTCATATCTCAGGGGAGGAGGACACCACACCACACAGGGCCACACAGAGGTTTACTCAGAAACAGAGTGAATGACAGGGACTGTGGGAAGCTGACTTTGTAGTATGAAGAGGATGCAACGTCCCCTGGTTCCCATGAGAGGATGTGATTGGCTTATTGGAAAAATCCCATGGACTGGCAAGAAATTGAAACCTGCCACTCATGAATAAGCAGGAACCACATCTGGTCCATTTCATAAGCAGGGCTATTTCTAGGGGACCTTATCTATGGCAGCAGAATGGGGAGGAGAACCTGCAGTTACGCTATTCGAGGCCCTTGCGATTTTTCCAAGTGTGAAGGCAGCACATAATATTGAACCTTAATTTCACATATTATGCCACCAAATCTTGTTAGGCATATGTATCCTGCATCTATAAAAAAGACTTACAATTCAACAATAAAAATACATATAATTCAATTTTAAAACGGATAAAGGCTTGATGTAGTCCCACTTATTTATTTTTGCTTTTCTGACCTGAGCTTTTGGTATAAAATCTAAAACATCACTGCCAAGGCCAATGTCTAGGAGCTTTTCTCCTATAGTCTGTCTCTTCTAGGAGTTTCATAGTTTCAAATGTAATAAATAGCCTAAATATGACTGATGTTCAGTGGTTTGAATATTCTCAAATATCAATTTTTTTATTTAGGTCTTTTATCCATTTTGAGTTGATTTTTGCATATGGTGTAAGATGAGGATTCCATTTTTTTCTTTTCTTTTCTTTTTTTTTTTTTTTTTTTGATAGGGTCTCACTCTGTCACCCAAGCTGGAGTGTAGCACAGTGGTGCAATCACAGCTCACTACAGCCTTGAATTCCTGGGCTTAAGCGATTCTTTGGTCTCAGCCTGCCAAGTAGCTGGAACTAAGGAACGTGCTACAATGCCCAGCTAATTTTTTTTTTTTATAGATGGTGTCTCACTATGTCACCTAGTCTGTTCTTAAACCCCTGGGCTCAAGCAATTCTCCCACCTCAGCCTCCCAAAGTCTGGGATTACAGGTGTGAGTAACCATGCCCAGCCCCCAATTTTATTATTTTGCATGTGGAAATTCAACGTTCCCAGCACCATTTATTGGAAGAAATTGTCCTTTTCCCCATTGTTCTTTTTTGGTGTCTTTGTCAAAAATTAGTTGACCACATGTATTTGGGTTTGCTGCTGGGCTCTCTATTCTGTTCCACTGGTCTATGGGTCTGTTTTTATGTCAGTACCATAAAACTGTTGTGATGAGCCATAGCTTTGTAAAATATTTTAAATCAGGAAGTGTGGTGCCTCCAGTGTTTTCTTTCTCAAAATTTTTTTGGCCATTCAGGGTCTTTTACATTTCCATATAAAATTTATGATTTTTTTTTCTATTTCTGTGAAGAATGCCATTAGGATTTGGATAAGGCTTGCATTAAATCTGTAGATTACTTTGGGTAATATGGTCATTTTAATCATATTAATTCTTCTGCTCCATGAGCACAGGACATCTTTGTATTTATTTGTGTCTTCATCAATTTCTTTCAGTGCTTTAGAGTTTTCAATGTATAGATATCCTAATTCCTTGCTTAGATTTATTCCTAGGAATTTTTTATGCTATCATAAGTGGAATTGCTTTCCTGATGTCTTTTTCAGTTAGATCATTATTCATATATAAAAATGCTACTGATTTTGCTATATTCATTTTGCATCTTGCATTTTGTATCTTTACTGAATTTATTATTTTTAACACTGTTGAGAGTTTTTATCAAGAAAGAATTTTGGACTTTGTCAAAAGCTTTTTCAGTGTCAGTTGAGGTGATCATGTGGTTTTTACCTTTCATTCTGTAAATATGATGTATCACATTGACTGATATGTGTATGTTCAACCAGACTTGTATGAGCTTCTACATAATAAAAGAAACAACCAACAAAACGAAATGGCAGCTTATGGATTGGAAAAAAATATTTGCAAACCATAAATCTGATAAGGAATTAATAATCAAAATTTATAAAGAACTCATATAGTCAATACTGGAAAAAAACAAATAAGCTGATTTTAAAATGGGCAAAGGATCTGAATAGACATTTCCCCAGAGAAGACATAAAAATGGCCAAGAGGTATATGAAAAGGTGCTTAACATCACTAATCATTGGGGAATGCAAATCAAAATCACTATGAGATACCACATTACACCTGTTATGATGGTTATTGTCAAAAAGTCAAAAGATAACAAATGTTGGTGAGGTAAAGAGAAAAGGGAATTCTTACACACTGTCAGTAGGAATGTAGCTTGGTACAGCCATTATGAGAAACAATATGGAGGCAACTAAAGGAATTAAAATTAGAACTATCATCAATCCCCCTTATGGGAATATACCCAAAGCAAGTGAAATCACCACTTCATAAAGATGTCTGCACTCTCATATTTACTGCATTACTGATAACAGCCAAGATATGGAAACATTCTACATGGCCATCAATGGACAAATGTTTAAACTGTAGCAAATATATACAATGGAATATTATTCAGCCCTAAAAAGAGAATGATATATTGTCATTCATCACAACATGGATGAGCTTAAAAGAAATTATGCTAAGTGAAATAAACCAAACACAGGAAGAAAAATAATTGCATGATCTCATGTAGATGTGAAATATTTTTTAAAAATTCAAATATACAGAAATAGAAAATGAAACAGTGGTTGCCAAGGACATGTAGTGGGTAAGGAAATGGGAGATGTAGGTCAGAAAATACGAAATAGGGGGGTGGAGCCAAGATGGCCGAATAGGAACAGCTCCAGTCT
>NC_000003.12:91291218-91345078 GCF_000001405.40 Homo sapiens
TTTCCAACTGAGGTACTGGGTTCATCTCACTGGGGAGTGCTGGACAGTGGGTGCAGGACAGTGGGTGCAGTGCAACACACATGAGCTGAAGCAGGGCGAGGCATTGCCTCACCTGGGAAGCACAAGGGGTCAGGGAATTCCCTTTCCTAGCCAAGGAAAGGGGTGATGGATGGCACCTGGAAAATCGGGTCACTCCCACCCTAATACTGCACTTTTCCAATGGGCTTATCAAATGACACACCAGGAGATTATATTGTGTGCCTGGCTTGGAGGGTCCTATGCCCACGGAGCCTCACTCATTGCTAGCACAGCAGTCTGAGATCAAACTGCAAGGTGGCAGCGTGGCCGGGGGAGGGGTGCCCGCCATTACTCAGGTTTGAGTAGGTAAACAAAGCTGCAGGGAAGCTCGAACTGGGTGGAGCCCACCACAGCTCAAGGAGGCCTGCCTGCCTCTGTAGGCTCCACCTCTGGGGTCAGGGCACAGAAAAACAAAAGACAGCAATAACCCCTGCAGACTTCATTGTCCCTGTCTGACAGCTTTGAAGAGAGCAGTGATTCTCCCAGCATGCAGCTTGAGATCTGAGAATGGCCAGACTGCCTCCTTAAGTTGGTCCCTGACCCCCAAGTAGCCTAACTGAGAGGCAGCCCCCAGTAGGGGTGGACTGACACCTCACAAGGCCGGGTACTCGTCTGAGACAAAACTTCCAGAGGAACGATCAGGCAGCAGCATTTGCGGTTCACCAATATCCGCTGTTCTGCAGCCACCACTGGTGATACCCAGGCAAACAGGGTCTGGAGTGGACCTCCAGTAAACTCCAACAGAACTGCAGCTGAGAGTCCTGACTTTTAGAAGGAAAACTAACAAACATAAAGGACATCCACACCAAAAACCCATCTGTACGTCACCATCATCAAAGACCAAAGGTAGATAAGACCACAAAGATGGGGAAAAGACAGAGCAGAAAAACTGGAAACACTGAAAATCGGAGTGCCTCTCCTCCTCCAAAGGACTGCAGCTCCTCACCAACAACAGAATGAAGCTGGATGGAGAATGACTTTGACAAGTTGAGAGAGGAAGGATTCAGAAGATAAAACTACTCTGAGCTAATGGAGGAAGTTCGAACCAATGGCAAAGAAGTTAAAAACTTTGAAAAATAATTAGATGAATGGATAACTAGAATAACCAATGCAGAGAAGTCCTTAAAGGACCTGAAGGAGCTGAAAACCATGGCATGAGAACTACGTGATGAATGCACAAGCCTCAGTAACTGATGCAATGAACTGGAAGAAAGGGTGTCAGTGATGGAAGACAAAATGAATGAAATGAAGCGTGAAGATAAGTTTAAAGAAAAAAAGAACAAAAAGAAATGAACAAAGCCTCCAAGAAATATGGGACTACGTGAAAGGACCAAATCTACATCTAATTGGTGTACCTCAAAGTGACGGGGAGAATAGAACCAAGTTGGAAAACACTCTGTGGGATATTATCCAGGAGAACTTCCCCAATCTAGCAAGGCAGGCCAATATTCAAATTCAGGAAATACAGAGAACACCAGAAAGGTACTCCTCGAGAAGAGCAACTCCAAGACACATAATTGTCAGATTCACCAAAGTTGAAATGAAGGAAAAAATGTTAAGGGCAGCCAGAGAGAAAGGTCAGGCTACCCACAAAGGGAAGCCCATCAGACTAACAGTGGATCTCTCGGCAGAAACTCTACAAGCCAGAAGAGAGTGGGGGAAAATATTCAACATTCTTAAAAACAAGAATTTTCAACCCAGAATTTCTTATCCAGCCAAACTAAGCTTCATAAGTTAAGGAGAAATAAAATCCTTTACAGAAAAGCACATGCTGAGGGATTTTGTCACCACCAGGCCTGCCCTAAAAGAGCTCCTGAAGGAAGCACTAAACATGGAAAGGAAAAACCAGTACCAGCCACTGCAAAAACATGCCAAATTGTAAAGACCATCAAGGCTGGGAAGAAAGTGCATCAACTAACGAGCAAAATAACCAGCTAACATCATAATGACACGATCAAATCCACACATAACAATACTAACCTTAAATGTAAATGGGCTAAATGCTCCAATTAAAAGACACAGACTGGCAAATTGGATAAAGAGTCAAGACCCATCAGTGTGCTGAATTCAGGAAACCCATCTCATGTGCAGAGACACAAATAGGCTCAAAATAAAGGGATGGAGGAAGGATCTACCAAGCAAATGGAAAAGAAGAAAAGGCAGGGGTTACAATCCTAGTCTCTAATAAAACAGACTTTAAACCAACAAAGATCAAAAGAGACAAAGAAGACCATTGCATAATGGTAAAGGGATCAATTCAACAAGAAGAACTAACTACCCTAAATATATATGCACCCAATACAGGAGCACCCAGATTCATAAAGCAAGTCCTTAGTGACATACAAAGAAATTTAGACTCCCACACAATAATAATGGGAGACTTTAACACCCCACTGTTTACATTAGAAAGATCAACCAGACAGAAATTTAACAAGGATATCCAGGAATTGAACTCAACTCTGCACCAAGTGGACCTAATAGACATCTACAGAACTCTCCACCCCAAATCAACAGAACATACATTCTTTTCAGTACCACACCTATTCCAAAATTGATCACATAGTTGGAAGTAAAGCACTCCTCAGCAAATGTAAAAGAACAGAAATTAAAACAAACTGTCTCTCAGACCACAGTGCAATCAAACTAGAACTCAGGATTAAGAAACTCACTCAAAACTGCTCAACTACATGGAAACTGAACAACCTGTTCCTGAATGACTACTGGGTACATAATGAAATGAAGGCAGAAATAAAGATGTTCTTTGAAACCAATGAGAACAGAGACACAACATACCAGAATCTCTGGGACACATTCAAAGCAGTGTGTGAGGGAAATTTATAGAACTAAATGCCCACAAGACAAAGCAGGAAAGATCTAAAATGGACACCCTAACATCACAAATAAAAGAACTAGAGAAGCAAGAGCAAACAAATTCAAATGCTAGCAGAAGGCAAGAAATAACTAAGATCAGAGCAGAACTGAAGGAAATAGAGACACAAAAAAAATCCTTCAAAAAATCAATGAATCCAGGATCTGGTTTTTTGAAAAGATCAACAAAATTGATAGACTGCTAGCAAGACTAGTAAAGAAGAAAAGAGAGAAGAATCAAATAGATGCAATAAAAAATGACAAAGGGGATATCACCACCAATCCCACGGAAATGCAAACTACCATCAGAGAATACTATAAAGACCTCTACACAAATAAACTAGAAAATCTAGAAGAAATGGATAAATTCCTCAATACCTACACTCTCCCAAGACTACACCAAGAAGAAATTGAATCTCTGAAGAGACCAATAACAGGTTCCGAAATTGAGGTAATAATTAATAGCTTACCAACCAAAAAAAGTCCAGGACCAGATGGACTCACAGCCAAATTCTACCAGAGATACAAGGAGGAGCTGGTACCATTCCTTCTGAAATTATTCCAATCAATAGAAAAAGAGGGAATCCTTCCTAACTCATTTTATGAGGCCAGTATCATCCTGATACCAAAGCCTGGCAGAGACAACAAAAAAAGAGAATTTTAGACCAATATCCTTGATGAACACTGATGCAAAAATCCTCAATAAAATACTGGCAAACCAAATCCAGCAGCACATCAAAAAGCATATCCACCATGATCAAGTATGCTTCATCCCTGAGATGCAAGGCTGGTTCAACATACGCAAATCAATAAATGTAATCCAGCATATAAACAGAACCAAAGACAAAAACCACATGATTATCTCAATAGATGCAGAAAAGGACTTTGACAAAATTCAACAATGCTTCATGCTAAAAACTCTCAATAAATTAGGTATTGATGGGATGTATCTCAAAATAATAAGAGCTATCTATGACAAACTCATGGCCAATATCATACTGAATGGGCAAAAACTGGAAGCATTTCCTTTGAAAACGTGCACAAGACAGGGATGTCCTCTCTCACCACTCCTATTCAACATAGTGTTGGAAGTTCTGGCCACGGCAATCAGGCAGGAGAAGGAAATAAAGGGCATTCAATTAGGAAAATAGAAAGTCAAATTGTCCCTGTTTGCAGATGGCATGATTGTGTATCTAGAAAACCCCATCATCTCAGCCCAAAATCTCCTTAAGCTGATAAGCAACTTCAGCAAAGTCTCAGGATACAAAATCAATGTGCAAAAATCACAAGCAATCTTATACACCAATAACAGACAGAGAGCCAAATCATGAGTGAACTCCCATTCACAATTGCTTCAAAGAGAATCAAATACCTAGAAATCCAACTTACAAGGGATGTGAAGGACCTCTTCAAAGATAACTACAAACCACTGCTCAATGAAATAAAAGAGGATACAAACAAATGGAAGAATATTCCATGCTCGTAGGTAGGAAGAATCAATATCATGAAAACGGCCATACTGCCCAAGGTAATTTATAGATTCAATGCCATCCCCATCAAGCTACCAATGACTTTCTTCACAGAATTGGAAAAAACTACTTTAAAGCTCATATGGAAGCAAAAAAGAGCCCACATTGCCAAGTCAATCTTAAGCCAAAAGAACAAAGCTGGAGGCATCACACTACCTGACTTCAAACTATACTACAAGGCTACAGTATCCAAAACAGCATGGTACTGGTACCAAAACAGAGATATAGACCAATGGAACAGATCAGAGCCCTCAGAAATAATGCCACATATCCACAACTATCTGATCTTTGACAAACCTGACAAAAACAAGAAATGAGGAAAGGATTCCCTATTTAATAAATGGTGCTGGGAAAACTGGCTAGCCATATGTAGAAAGCTGAAACTGGATCCCTTCCTTACACCTTATACTAAAATTAATTCAAGATGGATTAAAGACTTAAATGTTAGACCTAAAACCATAAAAACCCTAGAAGAAAACCTAGACAATACCATTCAGGACATAGGCAAGGGCAAGGACTTCATGTCTAAAACACCAAAAGCAATGGCAACAAAAGCCAAAATTGACAAATGGGATCTAATTAAATTAAAGAGCTTCTGCACAGCAAAAGAAACTACCATCAGAGTGAACAGGCAACATACAGAATGAGAGAAAATTTTTGCAATCCACTTATCTGACAAAGGGCTAATATCCAGAATCTACAATGAACTCAAACAAATTTACAAGAAAAAAACAAACAACCCCATCAACAAGTGGGTGCAGGACATGAACAGACACTTCTCAAAAGAAGACATTTATGCAGCCAAAAGACACATGACAAAATGCTGGCCATCAGAGAAATGCAAATCAAAACCACAAATGAGATACCATCTCACACCAGTTAGAATGGCGATCATTAGAAAGTCAGGAAACAGCAGGTGCTGGAGGGGATGTGGAGAAATAGGAACAATTTTACACTGTTGGTGGGACTGTAAACTAGTTCAACCATTGTGGAAGTCAGTGTGGTGATTCCTCGGGGATCTAGAACTAGAAATACCATTTGACCCAGCCATCCAATTACTGGGTGTATATACCCAAAGGATTATAAATCATGCTGCTATAAAGACACATGCACACGTACGTTTATTGCGGCACTATTCACAATAGCAAAGACTTGGAACCAACCCAAATGTCCAACAATGATAGACTGGATTAAGAAAATGTGGCCCATATACACCATGGAATACTATGCAGCCATAAAAAATGATGAGTTCACGTCCTTTGTAGGGACATGGATGAAGCTGGAAACCATCATTCTCAGCAAACTATCACGAGGACAAAAAACCAAACACCACATGTTCTCACTCATAGGTGGGAATTGAACAATGAGAACACATGGACACAGGAAGGGGAACATCACACACCAGGGACAGTTGTGAGGTCGGGGGAGGGGGGAGAGATAGCATTAGGTGATATACGTACTGCTAAATGACGAGTTAATGGGTGCAGCACACCATCATAGCACATGTATACATATGTAACACACCTGCACATTGTGCACATGTACCCTAAAACTTAAAGTATAATAATAATAAAGAAAGAAAATATGAAGTAGAAGACATGTAGGATGAATAAGTCTAGAGATTTAATGTATCATGTGAAGACTATAGGTAATAAAAGTGTGCTGTATATGGGATTCATGCTAAATGAATAGATTTTACCTGCTCTCACCACAAAAAAAAATGGGTAACTATGTGAAATAATGGATATGTTAATTTACTTCATTATAGTAATCTTTTTACTATGTGTATCCCATAAGATCATGTTGTATACCCTAAATATATACAACAAAATTTATTTTAAAAAATCAAAAAAGAAAACACAGAGATATACTAAACCAAGTAAAAAGAAGATGGGTAAAGGATTTCAAAAGACATATATTCAAAGAAGATAACAAATGGCCCACAAGCACATAAAAAGATGCTCAACATTATTAGCCATTAGGGAAATGCAAGGAAATACCACTTCACATCCACTAGGATGACTGTAATGAAAAAGACAGACAAAAACAGTTGGCATTGATGTGCAGAATTGGAGTCTCATACATTGCTGGGAGGAATGTAAAATGGTGCAACTGCTTTGGAAAACAGTTTGACAGTTCCTCAAAATATTAAACACAGAATTACCATACGAACCAGCAATTCCACTCCTAAATATATATGCTGGAGAAATGAAAATGTATGTTCACACAAAAACTTATATACTAATGTTCATAGCAACATTATTCATAATAACCAAAGAGTGGAATCAAATCACATATTCATCAATGCATTTATCCGTTGTTGAATGGACAAGTAAAATGTGGTGTATCCTGCAATGGAGTATTATTCAGCAATAAAGAGAATGTAGCGCCAATATGTACTACAACATGGGTGAATCTTGAAAACATGCTAACTTAAAGAAGCTAGACACAAAAGAGTGGCTATTATACATTCAAGTTATAAGAAAAGTCCAGAAAAGGCAGATCTACAGAGATGAAAGTATATTAATGGTGGCAGACGATAGTTGTGATGAGAAACAACTGCTAATGGGTATGGAGTTTCTTTTTGGAGGATGAAAACGTTTTAAAATTGACTGTGAGGAAGTCACTCCTGTGAATGTACTAAAAACCATTAAATTGTACACTATAAGTGGGTAAATTATGTAGTATGTAAATATATCTCAATGAATCTGTTATTTAAAAAAGATAATAGTAGCCTAAATATGAATGATATTCAGGTGTTTAACTATTCTCAAATATCATTTTGAATCTTCTGCTTTAAAATATCTTCACAGAATTTGGAAACTCTTCTCTATGGTTGATTGACTAGTATTCGTTCCCTTATAAATTTTCTGTAATATTGCCAAAGTTATCCATCAACACTGAAAAATATATAGTTAAGTAGGTAGATGAAACCTGCAATTTCACTTTTTAGCCACCTGTATAAACAATGTTTAGGGAATAGGCTAATTTTTTTTAGAGTAAGAAAAGTTGCTAGAGATCTACCAAATGAGAAAATTGCATCTCAAAAATGTTAACTGATTCTCCAAAATTACACAGCCAAATGATGAGGATATTGTATATTTGAAAACCACTGTGATAGCCAGCCTCCACAATCATCTCCAATGATTCTCATCTCTTGGTATTCATATCTTTATGTAGGCCCCTCCTCCCTTCCCTCCCTCTCCCATCACTCACTCCAGGGAAACTAGCTGAAAGCCATATGACATTCATGAAGATAATGAAGAGGCCTGTGTGCCCAGGGCCTGAGGTCTGCTATCAACTCCATGAGTAAGCTTGGAAGTATATCCTCCCCTGCTTGAGCTTTCAGATGAGACTGCAGCCCCAGCTAAAAACCTCAGCCTGATTAAACCTCATGAGAGACCAAGACCCAGAATCATCCAGCTAAGCCACTCCTTAATTCCTGATCCACACCAATAGTGAAATAATAAATTATTTTAAGCTATGGGTTTGCAGAAATCTGTTATGCCATTATGGATAACTAGTACATATTTTTGCTCTTTACACTAAAACCTGCCTCTTACACAACTACTGTTATATTTACAATTGTTTTCTAGGATGCATTGGCTAAAATTCAAACGTTAATCACTCTGTGTGGGTTTGACTTTGATTTACATTTCTCCATTTAAGAAGAAAAAAATTAAACATTATATATTTTTGTCAATTTTTTTCTCCTAACTCTAGGAGTTTCTGTCTGTTTTGCAACATCAAAAGAGCAAGATATAGCATTTTAACGTGAGATAACTTCTCAGGTAAATTTTTACTGCTTTTGCCACAAGGCAATGAAATTCAGTCATATCATTTTCCTTCTGGTGGAGGCTCCAAAGGTTCATTGAAGCAGAGGGATACTGTAGACACTACTTTCAACTCTCTGGTTATGCTAAGTGTAAATGAACCTACTCGTGTTTCTCCATATGCTCTGGTCAAACTTCCCAAGAGTCTTTTAATGTTACTAAAAAACAAAGAGCCAGACAGGAAGCCAGACAGGAGGGAAATCATAGAGAAGAAAAAATTAGCATATTTTATCCTTTACACTGTGGAAGCAAAACATCCAAGAGGAGAGATATATTCAAGGAAAAGTTTATTATTACTGACATTCACGTTCTTCTGGTCTTAAAGACTCTAGCCACTGGCTTTAAGTCTCCTTCTTCCCTTTATTCATGTCATTATTATCAGTGACCTCACTATGAAAATTGAAGCAACCAAAGACATTCTCACTCTCTTCCCACCAAACCCGCCAATCAATCTGCATCTGTATCCACAAAGTCCCATCCATGCTTCTCTCTATGGCCAATACATTAATACCCCATGCCCTCTCAACTACTAAAGAATTTTACTTCCAATAGTTTCTACTCTCTCTTGCATCATCAATTCATCCCTCTTTATATTAATTTCAGAAACATATCAATATGCCTTGATGTCACTATTCTAAAAATGCCCTTACTTAACCCCATTTATCTGATCTTCCTGGGCAAAACCTCCAAGGCGGATGTTTATTTTTGATTTCTCTGTTTTGCCATCTTTCATTTTTGCCTTTATTCGTTCTAGTTGGGTTTTGGTCCCATTATTATACTGATATTATATTTATCAGTATTAATTATCATCTTTCACCATTTACAGTGGAAGCTTCCTTATCTTTATCTTAATCCCACATCCAATCAGGTAGTCATTCTATCCTATGAACATACTCTCCTCCCTTGGTTCCTAGGACACCACTCCTTCTCAGTCTTCCTCCTACCTCTCTGGCAACTTCTGCTCAGTCTCCTTTTCTGACTCTTCCTCTTCTGCCTGCTTTATAAATGTTACTATTTCTCAGGATTCAGTCCAATGCCATCTTTTTCCTCTACTCCAAATTCCTCATCTACTTCCAACACATGAAAATCCATATAAATGCCAAAGAATCCCACATTTATGCCTCTTGATTCATACATCCAACAGTTAATTTGTGGTCTCCAGTTGCCACACATGCATGTTAAACTTAACATGTCTACAACAGAACTCTTCATTCCCAAAACATTACTGTCCCTGGCATCCCCATCCACATAGATACTCAAGCCTGAAACTAGCTGGGGTGTTATCCTTGATTTCTTCTACTCCCATGACCTGTCTCCATATTCAACCCAATAACAAGTCCTCTATAGTCTACCTCCAAAATGTGTCTTGAATTCATGCACTTACTTCTATGTTCAATGTTGCCAACCTACTATTAGCCACCACCATCTTTCATCTATAATACTTAATAGCTCCCTTTTTCAGTTTTGCCTCCCACTAATCCATTCTTCACACAGTAGCCAGAAAAATCATCTAAAAAAAGACTGTTAAGCTCAATAACAAGCTCACAACTCCCTGACTACATCTTCACCCTCACCCAGTGTCATTCCCCCACTTATAAACTATAATCACATGGACTTTTCCTTTACTAGAGCAAATTAAGGTATTTCCTACCTTGCACCTTCATAATTACCATTGTAAATGGTAAATATTTAATAGCTCTCAGAAAATAGGCAACTTGTAGAGTGGAAAGAACGTAATAGTATATTAGTTATCTGTTGCTGCATTAAAAATTTCCCCAATTTCAATCTGCCTGAAGTAAGCCGCCACCCCTGTTCCATCTACCAGGTTCTTTGCCAGATTAGTTTCTTATTATTCCTCCTATTTGAGATTAAATATTACCTAATTTCTTAAACAGATTTCCTCTTCTCTCCTTTTTTAAATACATTTTTTAAACTTTTTAATTGTAAATTTGTCTAGTGCATCTCTACCCTTACTAGAGATACAAACTCTGCAAGCAAATTACCACGTCTTCTTCATTTTTTATTCTAAATCCAGTGTCTAGAACAATACTCTGAATATATTAAGCTCTTATTACTATTTGTTGAATTAATGATAATGTCATATGAGACTCATAGAATCAAAGAATATTCAGTTTGAGAGCTACAAAATCAAAAGACCTTTATAAGCAAACCGGCCTGTCTTTTGTAAAAGGTACATATGTTATCAACGTGCCTTGCATTTAAGAAGCTTATTAAACACTGTGATGCAAAATCTCTCCATTTCCTTCTCCATCAGCTGCGTATTTGTATATGTGTATGTATGAGATTGTATTTCTTTCTTAAAAGTCCTTGTATTAGGCCATTTTTGCGTTGCTCTAAAGGAATACCTGAAATTGGGTAACTTACAAAGAAAAGAGGTTTAATTGGCTCTGGGTTCTGCAGGCTGTACAGGAAGCATGGCACCAACATCTGGCTTCTGGTGAGGCTTCAGGAAGTTTTCAATAACGGTGGAAGGTGACAGGGAGCCAGCATGTCACATGATGAGAGCGGGAGCAAAAGAGAGAGAGAAAGGGAGGGGCCAGACTCTTTGAAACAACCAGATATCACGTGAAGTCAGAGTGAGAATTCACTTATCACCAAGGTGATGGCCCTAAGCCATTCATAAGAGATCACCCTCCATGATCCAAACACTTCCAACATTGGGAATTACATTTAAATATGGGATTTGGAGGAGACAAACATCCTAACGATATCCTTCTCTACTCTTCTCATTCCTGTTTCTAGTATCTTCAGATACAGATTGAACAGGATCTGTCCAAAAAAAAAAAAAAAGATGCTCTTGATTCCTCTTAGAGTAGTTGACCTAAAAAGGCCACCTATCAGAAGCCTAAAAGTGTCAGTATTTCCCTAGATACAAATGCCTGTCTCATTCTTTAACCACTAAACTAAATGATAAATCAAAGACACTCTAAGGGGAAAAAAAACTATCAGAAGTCTTACTTGTAAAGCAGAATTGAAGTTGAAAGAAAGTAGGGATGAGACACACTATATGGGCATCCGCAGCCACAGGGGAATCCTGCCAAAAAGTCAGAAATAGCTTCTCAAGGGTAACCATTTTCAATCTATTTTATTTCTTTTTATTACTCTTCCCAGGTAACACAAAACTTCAACTGATAGGAAACCTTTTAACAAATGCAGCTTGTAACACGGTCTATTTATATTCTTATTTTATTTGATTCAATTATTCTCCTATAATTCTCCTGGTATTAAAAGTCCTTTTGATGGCTGTTCTGTTTTTGATTTCCAAAGTCATTAACCTCCATTCCCTACGCAAGGTAAGGGAAAGCTCTGTGAATGACAGCCTTGTTTACAGGGAGCAGGAAAGGACTTGGCAGCTGTTCCAAAGTGTCAAATGAAATAGCCTGAAGAATGCTATTAAAAAGTGTCACCAAACGGGGAAACGACGTCACACTAATTAGATTGCCTCTTCGTTGTCCACTAATAGAATTCTCTGACACATAACTGTTGAGAGAGAAAGATTTGTTAGGAGGGAGGAATAGCGGGTAATCTTTTTTATACCTTTCATATGACTTTCACAGTCTTCAAAATCTCAAAACATAGAGATGGGCTTAAAATGCAAATAATGAGAAGAAACAACAACAACAAAGACTATATTAATTTGAATTATAACAGTGCCCTTTTGAGAATGAAGAATTTTATTTTTAATATCTCAGAGTCACTCTTATACACCAAACTTTTAGCTAAAATTAATGCTTTTCATCCATATCGAAAGGTATATCTGAGAGTATGCCTAAAATGTTCACTTGAACTGTCATTATTTTAGAAGCATATGATCAGGTAATAATCAGCCAAAGCCCTCTAAAACATTTATTTTTGGTATTCAATTTTCTATTCCCTTGTTATATTTAGTCCCTTGGTGGTTCCAATTTGTTCATTTAATAGGCATTTCTTAAATGACTACTCTGTGCAGGATCAATTCCAGTCAGTTAAAATCGAATCAGTTTTTTTTTTTTTTTTTTTTTTTTTTTTTTTTTTTAGGAGAGTCTTGCCCAGGCTGGAGTGAAGCGGTGCCATCTTGGCTCACTGCAACTTCTGCCTCCTGAGTTCAAGCAATTCTCCTGCCTCAGCCTCCCGAGAAGCTGGGATTACAGGTGTACACCACCAGGCCTCATTAATTTTTGTATTTTCAGTAGGATGGGGTTTCACCATGTTGGCCAGACAGGTCTCCAACTCCTGACCTCAGGTGGTCTCCAACTCCTGACCTCAGGTGATCTCCCCGCCTTGGCCTCCCAAAGTGCTGGGATTACAGACATGAGCCACTGTGCCCGGCCAAAATCTAATCAGTTTCTAAGTTGCACTAATCACATCTAGGAAACATCAAATGCTTTACAGTCTAGTGAGAAAGAAAGAAAAGTGGATGATCCCTGCTATAGCCAGTCATAAGAACATCCATGAGGCTCTATTCTCCTGTGCTTTCTCTGGGCATAACCCCTTCACCTAAATTCTAATCTTCTTCTTCAGTTAGATTCACCATCTTCACCTCAAAGTCAGGATGCTCAAGACAGATTTTTCATTCTTCCTAAGTCCTGCCTGGTTCTCATCCCCAGGTTTCTAATTGTCAAAATAATAACCCAAAATTAGCACTTGGTATGTGCAATGCACTGCGTTATGTGCATTACATGGGTTATCTGATTTAACCTTCAAATTATTCCTATGAACCAGATAATATTACTAGTTCACTTGAAAAGTAAGGAAACCAAGATTTAGAAAGGTTAAGTAACATGTTCAAATAACTAGGAAGTGGTTAACTTGCAGACAGATTTTGAAAAATCAGGCATTAGAGCTTCACTGTCCAATAGCCACATACAGCTAATGAGCATTTAAAATACAGCTAATGCAACTGGGAAAATTTTTTAATTTCATTAAATTAATTTAAATTTAATTTTAAAAACCAACAGTTAAGTTGGTTATTGAGTATGTGAATGTACTTTTCAACCATAAATTTATGAAATTTATGAAATCTAAATACAGATCAAGTATTTCTGATGAAAATTTAGCTTCCAAACTAATACATGCTATAAGTGTAAAATTAGACTTTGAAGACTTGGTATTAAAAACAAGACTGTAAAATATCTCATTGGTAATTTTTTATATTGACTACATATGGAAATATTTTAGATATATTGGGTTCAATAAAAACATATTAGTACAATGTCATCTATTTCTTTTGCATAAGAAAATTTAAAAGTGCAGATATGGCTCACATTATATTTCTTTTTTACTGCATAGAAACTACCTTTTTTTAATAATTTCAACTTTTGTTTCAGATTCAAGGAGTACATGTGCAGGTTTGTTACGTGGGTATATTGCATGATGCTGAGGTTTGGGTATGACTGAACCCATCACCCAGGTACTGAACATAGTACCCAATAGTTTTTCAGCCCTTTCCCCACTCCCTTCATCCTCCCTCTAGTAGTCCCCAGTGACTATTGTTCTCATCTTTATGTCATATGTACCCAAAGTTTAACTTCCACCTATAAGTGAGAACATGCAGCATTTGGTTTTCTGTTCCTGCATTAATTTGCTTAAGATGATGGCCTCCAGCTGCATCTATATTGCTGCAAAGAACATGATTTCATTATTTTTGTGGCTGCATGGTATTCTGTGTTGTATATGTACCACAGTTTCTTTACCCAATCCACTGCTGATGGGCACCTAGATTGATTCCATGACTTTGCTATTGTTAATGGTACTGTGATGAACATACGAGTGCATGTGTCTTTTTTTGGTAAAATGATTTCTTTTCCTTAGGGTATATACGCAGTGATGGGATTGCTAAGTCAAATGGTAGTTCTGTTTGAAGTTCATTAAGACATCTCCAAACTGCTGTCCACAGTGGCTGAACTAATTTACATTCCCACTGTTTATAAGCATACTCTTTTCTCCACAGCCTTGCCAGCATCTGTTATTTTTTGTCTTTTTAATAACTGGCACAAGTCATAGTTCTGTTGGGCTCCACTTGTCCAGAGTCTATCCTCTTATCTTACACTATTCCAACTCTCAGGAAGCTTTCAATTCAGTGCTCATGTGGTAACAAGGATCTATTATTCAAACTGGCTAAATTCAGGCTCCCTGCTTTTCCCTCTCACCCCCCACTGTCTGGCAGATATCTTGAAACATCTTATCCTCTTCACTCTCCAGCCTTCTCTCAATGATTTATTAGCTCAAGTTCCACCAATACAGTATGACTTTTCTTGATATCTGTTCCAAAATACATTTTCGTTCTCTCACTGCAACATCAAAATGTGGAAATTGTCAAACTGGACAATACAATCTAGTATTCTGCTGTATCAAATGCTTCCAAGTGACATGATGTGGTTGTGTGTGTGGGCACATGTGTGTATGTCTGTGTGCACACACATGCATGTGCACATAATATATTCATATTTATATTCCAGCTTCTTTTTTCTATCTCCTTGTAGCTTTGCCATTCCTAAATTCACTCAAATCACTATGAATTCATTTACAACGGCCCCCATTTATTAAGCTCCACACACCTTCCAAAATTATGTCCTTCCTTTGCTTAAATGCAGGAACAAGTTTTAAAGAATGACACACTGTTCCTTCACAGTTTGATGAGATCATGTATTACCTTATACACTGCTTAATTTATAAATTTTAGTCATGTCTTTCTTTAGCCTTAACCTCCTAGATTGAAGTTTCCCAGTTGTCCTTTATATGATGGCTATTATTACCAAAGCCAGAAACACATCTTTGGTCATTGATCTACCATTTCTCTCTTAAGATGCATTAGAATTGACTACACTCTTCCAGATTTCAGGTGAAAATACTATAATAGGGTTATAGAATATATTGTTTAGATTTTCATTTCCTTGATAAAAATGCCAACTATTTTAAATTTTAGCCTTAGGTTGATCTGATGTCATCAGAAAACATTCTATAACAATTCTTTGTCTTTAGGTTGTAACCACAAATTTTTGTTTTCATACAGAGAAGGTGTGTAACTATTTTATAATTCTATTTTGGTATTCAAATTCATTTGCCACTCTTCTACATATTAACTCTCGGTACTTATTTCTGTCTTTCCATGTCTTCTTGGTAAACATGATAATAAATCTAAAATATATCCATATAAAATAATAATATCTAATTTGTGGTGTTTAAAATACGATAGACTTAAAAATATTGGGCAAAAATTAGATATACGATGCAAACATATGATTAGAATTCAAGTGTTCTAAGGTCTTTCCAAAGTTCAGAAGGAGGTTAAGATATTTATTAACTTTAGGCTTTAGGTATATTTCATAATAATTTCAAAAGTAATCACAAAAAGAATGGAAGTAGAGTGTGTGACTTCCAAACCAGATGTTGGCAGCGGGGGCGGGAGGCGAAAGTTTTTGACTGTAATAAATTCAGAAGATAGAAAATCAGAATGGAAGAAAAAGGGGATATAGGAAAAGCAGTACACAGAGAAAATGCTAAGTAAACTAGTAGAAGTAAATCCAAAATATTAGAAATAACAATAAAAGTAAATGGACTAAACATACCAGCAAAGAGATAAACATTTCAAATTAGAGAATTTTTTTTAAATCCAGGTTTATGCTACCTATAAAAGACAAGTAAACAAAAAGACAAGTTTAAAATATAAAGAACAGAAAAAGTTAGAAAGTTAAAGCATAGAAAAACTACTAAGGCAAAACTAATCAAATGAAAGCCAGTATAATTAATATTGGAAGGAAGGTTTCATGGCTGGTCAAAGGTGCTGGATTAATATCAGAAAGAAAAAAGAAGACTTTAATAGTTCTCAGACCTGTTTACACATTATAATAATTTTGGAAAAAGTTTTTAAGTTACCAGTGTTTTACCCTCACCAATTAACTTCTAAAAGTGAGGCCTGGGCATGGATGTTTCTAAAAGTTCCCTAGGTACTTATGATACAGAATGAGGATTAATAACTTCCACTTTAAACAAAAAGAATTTTTAGAGATAAAAATATTCATCATATACTAATTTGTTAAATATACTAAATTTGTTAAAAAGAAAACTACAGAACTATTAGACTAAGACATGGGTAAATTCCTCTATTACCTGGGAGAGGGAGGAATGTTTCAAACTATCATTCAACATCCAGAAGCAATAAAATAAAATGAGATTGTATTAAAAAGACACAGGTTTCTGCCTATGAAGTGTTAGCTGCCACAGGAATTGCCACCTCACCATAGCCAAGAAAACCAGATAAAGTATATAAAACAAAAGTTTTCAGATTCTGGGCAACAGAATGTGATCCCTGAGAAAAGGGAAACAAGATTATCAGTGAACTCTAAGTTAATGCCTTCAAACAGTTTTCAGATCACAGTCAAGGAGGGGGCTCCAAATTAAGGAATAGGGATTAAAGTTTGGGAAGGTGGAGACTCCTATAACTGTCATATTTAAAAACAAAGAAGAGACAACTTGACTCAGCTCAGGCTGTCATAACAAAATACCATGGCTGGGTGGCTTAGGAAGCAGGGGTTTGTTTTCTCAAAGTTCTAGAGGCTGGAAGTCTCAGATCAGGATGCCAGGTTCTGATGAGGACTCTCTTCCTGGTTGGCAGATCACTGCCTTCTTGCTGTACCCTAACATGGCAGAGAGAGGAGTGGGGGAAGGAGAAGGGGAGGGTGAGGGAGCCATACTTCAGAACACCACCCCATGACCTCATCTAGACCAATTGTCTCCCAAAGGCCCCATCTCCAAATACCATTACATTAGGGATTAGGGCTTCAATACATAAATTTTATGGTATATAATTCATTGCATAGCAGAACTTCACAGAGAGCTCTGGAGTTCTGCATAGGGATCTTCTTGAGTCTTTGGCTGAATACTGACCTACCCATGAATGATAAGAAACTACCAAAGACTGAGGAAAGCTATAAAACAGCTTCTCATAGCTCACACAGAAGTGAAAATAGCTTGTGTTTCCACAAGCCAGAATGAAGAGACCTCCTAACATGGGTCATTGCATACAGTCCACAGAAGGGTCCTGCCTTAATATTGGAGCTAAATTAATCCCAGGATAAAGACTTCCCTGGGAACACCTAACAAAGCTTAAAATTAAGTCTTAAAAGTTTCAAATTTACCTGCCAGTTATGAAACTACACACCAGAATAAAATCCAATACTCTTTAAAGGAATACAAATAATTTCAGCAAACCATAAAACTCACAATGTCAGAAATAATTTTAGAATTATTAGGCATGCAAATCATGAATGAACCCCCATTCACAATTGCCCCAAAAAGCATAAAATACCTAGGAATATCAGTAACAAGAGAAGTGGAGGATCTCTACAGGAAAATTACAAAACACTGCTCAAATAAATCAGAGATGACACAAATAAATAGAAAAACATGCTGTGCTCATGGATAGGAAGAATCAGTATTGTTAAAATGACCATACTGCCACTAGCAATTTATAGATTTAATGCCATTGACACTAAACTACCATTGACATTCTTCACAGAACTAGAAAAAAAACTATTTTAAAATTCATATGGAACCAAAAAAAAGAGCCCAAAAGCCAAGGTAATCCTAAACAAAAAGGACAAATCTGGAGGCATCATGTTACCTGACTTCAAACTATACTACAGGGCTACAGTAACCTAACCAAAACAGCATGGTACTGGTACAAGAATAGACACATCAACCAATGGAACAGAACAGAGAACCCAGAAATAAGACCACACACCTACAACCATCTGATCTTCAACAAAGCCAACAAAAAGAAGCAATGGGGCAATGGTTCCCTATTTAATAAATGCAGGAGAACTGGCTAGCCGTATACAGAGTATTGAAACTGGACCCCTTTCCTACACCATATACATAAATCAACTCAAGATAGAGTAAAGACTTAAATGTAAAGAATAACACTATAAAAACCCTGGAAGACAACCTAGGCAGTACCATCCTGAACATAAGAATGGGCAAAGAGTTCATGACAAAGATGTCAAAAGCAACTGCAACAAAAGCAAAAATTGACAAATGGGATCTAATTAAAGAGCTTCTGCACAGCAAAAGAAACTATCAACAGAGTAAACAGACAATCTACAGAATGGGAGAAAATGTTTGCAAACTATGCATCTGACAAAGGCCTAATATCCAGCATCTATAAGGAATTTAAACAAATTTACAAGAAAGAAACAACCCCATTAAAAAGTGGGCAAAGAACATGAACAGACACTTTTCTAAAGAAGATATACACACGGCCAGCAATCATATTTTCAAAAGCTCAGTATCACTGATCTTTAGAGAAATACAAATCAAAACCACAATGAGATACCATCTCACACAAGTCAGAAAGGCTGTTATTAAAAAGTCAAAAAATAATAGATGTTGGTGAGGTTGTAGAGAAAAAGAAACACTTTTACACTGTTTTGGGGAGTATAAATTAGTTCAACCATTGTGGAAGACAGTGTGATGATTCCTCAGAGACCTAGAGACAGAAATACAATTCAACCCATCAATGTCTTACTGGCTATATACCCAAAGGACTATAAATTCTTCTATTATAAAGATAAATGCATACATATGTTCACTGTAGCACTATTCACAGTAGCAAAGACATGGAATCAACCTAAATGTCCATCAGTGATAGACTGGTTAAAGAAAATGTGGTACATATATACCATGGGATACTCTGCAGCCATAAAAAGGAAAAAGATCATGTCTTTTGCAGGGACATGGATGGAGCTGAAGGCCATCATCCTTAGCAAACTAACCTAGGAAGAGAAAACCAAATACCACATGTTCTGACTTATAAGTGGGAGCTAAATGATGAGAACACATGGACACATAAAGAGGAACAACACACATTGGGGCCTACCAGATGGCAGAAGTTTGGAGGAGGAAGAGAGTCAGGAAAAATAACTAATGGATACTAGGCTTAATACTTGGCTGATGAATATAAAACAAACCCCCTTGATATACATTTACCTATGTAACAAACCTGCACATATTGCACATGTATCCCTGAATTTAAATAAAACTCATAAAAAATAACAGATATAAATTTTTAAGATACAAAAAATTATCAGGCATGAAAAGCAGAAAAACATGATCCATAATCAGCAGAAAATGTAGTCAATAAAACTAGACTGAGAAATAGCAAAAATGATTAAAAAAGAAGACAAGGACTTTTAAACTGCTAAGATAAATTGTATGAATATGCTTAAGGATGTAAATAAATACATGAATAAACTGAGAAGAGAAAATGGAAGATATCTTTAAAAGCTCAAATGGAATTTACAGAGATTAAAGACACAATCTTAAATGAAAAATGCACTGGGTTGGATTAATAGCATATAGAACACAGCAGAAGGCCAGGCACAGTTGTTCACGCCTGTAATCCCAGCATTTTGGGAGACCAAGATGGGTGGATTGCCTGAGCTCAGGAGTTCAAGGCCAGCCTGATCAACACAGTGAAAGCCCATCTCTACTAAAATACAAAAAAAAATTAGCCAGGCGTGGCAGCATGCGCCTGTAGTCCCAGCTACTTGGGAGGCTGAGGCAGGAGAATTGCTTGAACCTGGGAGGCGGAGGTTGCAGTGAGCTGAGATCATGTCACTGCACTCCAGCCTGGGAGACAGGGCAAGACTCTATCTCAAAAAAAAAAAATAAGAAAAAATAAAAAATAAACATATCCTCATTGAGCTTTGGGGTAATATCAAATAGTTTAATATACCTGTGCTGTGGTTTGAATGTGTCCTTCAACATTTGTGTGTTGAAAACCTAATCCCCAATGCAACAGTATTGAGAGGAGGAAACTAAGATGTGATTAGGTCATGAGGGCTCTGTCCTCATGAACTTATTAAAGCCATTATCTCAGGAGTAGGTTAGTTATTATGACAGTGAATTCTTGATAAAATAATGTTTGGCCCCCTTCCTCTCTCACATGCATGCACTCTCTTGTCATGTGATGCTTTCCACCACATTATGATACAGCAAGAATGTCCTTACCAGATGCAGCCCTTCAATTTTGGACTTCCCAGCCTCTGGATCCATGAGAAAAAAAAAAATATGTTCTTTGTAAATTACCCAGTCTGTAGTATTCTGTTACAACAACACAAAATGGACTAAGACAGCATATAATTAGAGTCCTATAGAAGAAGCAGACAGGAAATTAAAATATTTGAAGAAATAGTGACCAAAAATGTGATGAAAATTATAAAACAACAGATCTGAGGTGCTCAACAAATTCCAGGAACACACAAACAAAACAAAACCAAGGTACATCAAAATCAAATTGCTGAAAATAAGTAATAAAGGGAAAATATTAAATGAGGTTAGAAGGAAAAAAACCCATATTAATTATAAAAGAACAAAGATAATAACAGCTTATTCCTATGCCGAAATCATGAAGACCAGAAGAAAATGGGATGATATTTTTAAGGTGATGAAATAGAAAACTTGTCAACCTAGATTATATCCAAAGCAACTATCCTCTAAGAGTAAAAGAAAACTAAAGTCTTGTTCATGTCAACAAAAGTTGAGAGAATATCAGCAGCACAGCTGCACCTAAATAACCAAGGTAATGGACTACAGACCTTCAAGTAAAACTATGTAGGCTTAACACTAGATTCCTGCTGGGAATTACTTTCATGGACTATTGCTGTGTTGTCATATACTGCAACTCAAGGGTTCCCAGCCTGGCTACACATTATAACTGAGGAACTTTAAAAAAATAGATTATTCAGGTTCCACTCCAAGGCAATTAATTAAGACATCACAATGAGTGGAGTCTGGGCTCCTCTGGCAATTCTAATGTTCAGGTAGGGTTGAAACTGGCTGTCTAATCTCACCCTTCAAATCCCTACCCCATTTCCAATCTCCAACTGGCCCTCCTGAAAGTATCTGACACAGAGGTCAGCCATGTTTTCTACCAGTTAATTTAAAAGAAATATAATGAACAGTGAAAGCCACAAAAGGAATATAAAGTGAATAAATTCCCACTCCCTGCCATCAAAATCCAATTGATAGATTTTTACTTTACCCTCTGGGCTGAGGAAATACTCTGGCCTCTCCTTAGGGCAGCATTTCACATCTTTCATAGCCCAGAGGCAAGTCAATCTTGTGCATGGTTCCATGTCTTGAAAGGAGAGAAAAGGTGGCTTCTTTTATCTCTGTGTTGCCATCCTGACTGCTCCTTACTGTGTTCAGCTTTTGCCTTTTTTTCCTGTAGTCTTTTTCTCTGCAGGATTGACAAACTCCTGAAGTCTCTATGGTCAGTCTTTATGGGTTTCTCTTTCTTGCTCCACTCTATGACAAATTCTGAATCACTGTCATGTTAGAAGGGAGAAATACATCTGTTACTTAGAATCTGGTTTAAACAGAACAGAAATGGCTCCTTAAGCTCAGGTTTGATAATATTTCTTTTAATGGATTCCCTCATAAAATCTGCATGAAAGCAGTTTCTTTCAAACAACAAATGAATTTATAGTGATCATTTCTATGTGGCTATTCAGTATAAATAAGCTAGCCTTTAAGCTGAGGCATCACTGAAATATAGCAGACACTTGTCTCTGTAGAAACAAAACAGAGTGCTGTGCCACATACATTGACCTTTCCAAATAATCTTGCTTTCTGAACCAAAGGAAATGTTAATTTCCTCAAGAGCAAGAGCTGATGCATTTGTCAAAGATAAATGAAAAAGGACACAATAGCAACACACTTCAAATGTGCTCTGGATACCGAAAGATAGCAAACATCAGTGACCTCAAGAACTAAAGTGGGATTTGGAGGTCCCCAAGTATAATGTATTCACTGGCACTTTTTAGTTCAAATGGACAGGCAATGGAGCAGAATTAATGCCCTGTGGAACTCATGGCTGTGCATCAAAATCCACCAAGTTACCAAGACCTATGGGCCTTCCAAACAACCCAGGCAAAGGTGGCACTCTTTACAGTGTGTCTGACTAGCAGAATACAGATTCGATTTTCTGACCCTTGAGAAAAACACAGAGCAGTCACTTTGAGCTAAGACCCCAAATTACAGCTGTGGTTCAACAGCTGTAATTGAAGAGCCAGAGAAAGAAAAGAACAGCCGATTGAATATAGAAATAAATAATTTGTCATCTCAAAATGCTTCCAAAGTGCAATAAAAGACTGTTTCTAATGTAACTGAAATGATTCTGGAGATGAAATGATGTCAGCATTTGGTGAAGGCATATTAGGAAAACACAGTTGCCTGAGTGGAAAACTCACAAAGCCCTTAGCTGGGCCTAATGATGTATGGAAAAAAGGAACATTATGGGGTCACCCACTTCATGCCACCACAAATTAACATGATGGAACACATCAAAGACACCAAGCAGACTCCTTGGCTGTATGCATCAGCGAGGGCCCCTCTGACTTCAACTGGAAGAACTTATGATAATAAAAGTAAAAATGAAAAGAAGGGCTTTGCCAAACTTCCAACAAGAATCCTGTTTGAGGCTACCGGTGGGTGGACAGGAGAGCGGGAGGTGAGGGAGAAGGCATGGTGCAGGGCACACAATTATGCCTTTGGAAATGGAAGGGAAAACATGGACCCTACATTTCTTTAAGATAATACGGTTTAGTTCAACAAACATTAACTGAACATTATTAAATGATAGGCAGACATTATACTTAGCACTGAGAATTCTAGAAAATCACAACACTTACTGTCATGAAGTTACTGCCTGGTGGAGAATAAATTATGTACTACAATCTGTTTATGCTAAAAACACATATAAAGCCGAAAATGATTTGTTCTATCTGAAAAATCAAAAAGAATCCACACATGCAGATATGGTAAGCATGGGTTTGAAGTGTGAATATGAATTCACTATATGGTAAGCATGGGTTTGAAGTGTGAATATGAATTCACTATATGGTAAGCATGGGTTAGAAGTGTGAATATGAATTCACTATGCTGAAGGGTCAGGAAAGGACATACCGACCTGGCCCTAAGAATGAAGTATTACAATTGGAGTGAATATCCAGAACCACTATTGCCAAGGAACTATTTTCTTTTTCTCCAATTCCTCTCTTCACATTTTCTTTTTTTTTTTAAGGGTGTAATCCCTAGAATTTGTTTTTTGTTTTTTTTTAATTATACTTTAAGTTTTAGGGTACATGTGCACAACGTGGAGGTTTGTTACATATATATACATGTGTCATGTTGCTGTGCTGCGCCCATTAACTCGTCATTTAACATTAGGTATATCTGCAAATGCTATCCCTCCCCCCTCCCCCAACCCCACAACGGGCCCCGGTGTGTGATGTTCCCCTTCCTGTGTCCATGTGTTCTGATTGTTCATTTCCCACCTATGAGTGAGAACATGTGGTGTTTGGTTTTTTGTACTTGCGATAGTTTGCTGAGAATGATGGTTTCCAGCTTCAACCATGTCCCTACAAAGGACGTGAACTCATCATTTTTTATGGCTGCATAGTATTCCATGGTGTATATGGGCCACATTTTCTTAATCCAGTCTATTGTTGTTGGACATTTCGGTTGGTTCCAAGTCTTTGCTATTGTGAATAGTGCTACAATAAACGTACGTGTGCATGTGTCTTTATAGCTTCATGATTTATAATCCTTTGGGTATATACACCCAGTAATTGGATGGCTGGGTCAAATGGTATTTCTAGTTCTAGATCCCTGAGGAATTGCCACACCGACTTCCACAATGGTTGAACTAGTTTACAGTCCCACCAGCAGTGTAAAAGTGTTCCAATTTCTCCACATCCTCTCCAGCACCTGTTGTTTCCTGACTTTCTAATGATCGCCATTCTAACTGGTGTGAGATGGTATCTCATTTGTGGTTTGATTTGCATTTCTCTGATGGCCAGCATTTTCTCATGTGTCTTTTGGCTGCATAAATGTCTTCTTTTGAGAAGTGTCTGTTCATATCCTTCGCCCACTTGTTGATGGGGTTGTTTGTTTTTTTCTTGTAAATTTGTTTGAGTTCGTTGTAGATTCTGGATATTAGCCCTTTGTCAGATAAGAGGATTGCAAAAATTTTCTCCCATTCTGTAGGTTGCCTGTTCACTCTTATGGTAGTTTCTTTTGCTGTGCAGAAGCTCTTTAGTTTAATTAGATCCCATTTTTCAATTTTGACTTTTGTTGCCATTGCTTTTGGTGTTTTAGACATGAAGTCCTTGCCCTTGCCTATGTCCTGAATGGCATTGCCTAGGTTTTCTTCTAGGGTTTTTATGGTTTTAGGTCTAACATTCAAATCTTTAATCCATCTTGAATTAATTTTAGTATAAGGTGTAAGGAAGGGATCCAGTTTCAGCTTTCTACATATGGCTAGCCAGTTTTCCCAGCACCATTTATTAAATAGGGAATCTTTCCCCGTTTCTTGTTTTTCTCAGGTTTGTCAAAGATCAGATAGTTGTAGATATGTGGCATTATTTCTGAGGGCTCTGTTCTGTTCCATTGGTCTATATCTCTGTTTTGGTACCAGTACCATGCTGTTTTGGTTACTGTAGCCTTATAGTATAGTTTGAAGTCAGGTAGCGTGATGCCTCCAGCTTTGTTCTTTTGGCTTAGGATTGACTTGGCAATGTGGGCTCTTTTTTGCTTCCATATGAGCTTTAAAGTAGTTTTTTCCAATTCTGTGAAGAAAGTCATTGGTAGCTTGATGGGGATGGCATTGAATCTATAAATTACCTTGGGCAGTATGACCATTTTCATGATATTGATTCTTCCTACCCACGAGCATGGAGTGTTCTTCCATTTATTTGTATCCTCTTTTATTTCATTGAGCAGTGGTTTGTAGTTATCTTTGAAGAGCTCCTTCACATCCCTTGTAAGTTGGATTCTTAGGTATTTTATTCTCTTTGAAGCAATTGTGAATGGGAGTTCACTCATGGTTTGGCTCTCTGTTTGTCTGCTATTGACGTATAAAAATGCTTGTGATTTTTACACATTGATTTTGTATCCTGAGACTTTGCTGAAGTTGCTTATCAGCTTAAGGAGATTTTGGGCTTAGATGATGGGGTTTTCTAGATATACAATCATGTCATCTGCAAACAGGGACAATTTGACTTCCTATTTTCCTAATTGAATACACTTTATTTCCTTCTCCTGTCTAATTGCCCTGGCCAGATCTTCCAACACTATGTTGAATAGGAGTGGTGAGGGAGGGCATCCCTGTCTTGTGCACGTTTTCAAAGGGAATGCTTCCAGTTTTTGCCCATTCAGTATGATATTGGCCATGAGTTTGTCATAGATAGCTCTTATTATTTTGAGATACATCTCATCAATACCTAATTTATTGAGAGTTTTTAACATGAAGCATTGTTGAATTTTGTCAAAGGCCTTTTCTGCATCTATTGAGATAATCATGTGGTTTTTGTCTTTGGTTCTGTTTATATGCTGGATTACATTTATTGATTTGCGTATGTTATACCAGCCTTGCATCCCAGGGATGAAGCATACTTGATCATGGTGGATAAGCTTTTTGATGTGCTGCTGGATTTGGTTTGCCAGTATTTTATTGAGGATTTTTGCATCGATGTTCATCAGGGATATTGGTCTAAAATTCTCTTTTTTTGTTGTGTCTCTGCCAGGCTTTGGTATCAGGATGATACTGGCCTCATAAAATGAGTTAGGGAGGATTCCCTCTTTTTCTATTGATTGGGATAGTTTCAGAAGGAATAGTACCAGCTCCTCCTTGTATCTCTGGTAGAATTCAGCTGTGAATCCGTCTTGCCCTGGACTTTTTTTGGTTGGTAAGCTATTAATTATTGCCTCAATTTCAGAACCTGTTATTGGTGTATTCAGAGATTCAACTTCTTCCTGGTTTAGTCTTTGGAGAGTGTATGTGTCAAGTAATTTATCCATTTCTTCCAGATTTTCTAGTTTATTTGCATAGAGGTGTTTATAGTATTCTCTGATGGTAGTTTGTATTTCTGTGGGATTGGTGGTGATATCACCTTTATCATTTTTTATTGCATCTATTTGATTCTTCTCTCTTATCTTCTTTATTAGTCTTGCTAGTGGTCTATCAATTCTGTTGATCTTTTCAAAAAACCAGCTCCTGGATTCATTGATTTTTTGAAGGGATTTTTGTGTCTCTATTTCCTTCAGTTCTGCTCTGATCTTAGTTATTTCTTGTCTTCTGCTAGTGTTTGAAGGTGTTTGCTCTTGCTTCTCTAGTTCTTTTAATTGTGATGTTAGGGTGCCCATTTTAGATCTTTTCTGCTTTGTCTTGTGGGCATTTAGTGCTATAAATTTCCCTCTACACACTGCTTTGAATGTGTCCCAGAGATTCTAGCATGTTGTGTCTTTGTTCTCATTGGTTTCAAAGATCATCTTTATATCTGCCTTTATTTTGTTATGTACCCCGTAGTCATTCAGGAGCAGGTTGTTCAGTTTCTATGTCGTTGAGTGGTTTTGAGTGAGTTTCTTAATCCTGAGTTCTAGTTTGATTGTACTATCGTCTGAGAGACAGTTTGTTATAATTTCTGTTCTTTTACATTTGCTGAGGAGTGCTTTACTTCCAACTATGTGGTCAATTTTGGAATAGGTGAGGTGTGGTGCTGAAAAGAATGTATATTCTATTGATTTGGGGTGGAGAGTTCTGTAGAAGTCTATTAGGCCCACTTGGTGCAGAGCTGAGTTCAATTCCTGGATATCCTTGTTAACTTTCTGTCTCGTTGTTCTGTCTAATGTTGACAGTGGGGTGTTAAAGTCTCCCATTATTATTTTGTGGGAGTCTAATTCTCTTTATTGGTCTCTAAGGACTTGCTTTATGAATCTGGGTGCTCCTGTATTGGGTGCATATATATTTAGGATAGTTAGTTCTTCTTGTTGAATTGATCCCTTTACCATTATGTAATGGCCTTTTTTGTCTCTTTTAATCTTTGTTGGTTTAAAGTCTGTTTTATGAGAGACTAGGATTGCAACCCCTGTCTTTTTTTCTTTTCCATTTGCTTGGTAGATCTTCCTCCATCCCTTTATTTTGAGCCTATGTGTGTCTTTGCACAGGAGATGGGTTTCCTGAATACAGCACACTGATGGGTCTTGACTCTTTATCCAATTTGCCAGTCTGTGTCTTTTAATTGGAGCATTTAGCCCATTTACATTTAAAGTTAATATCATTATGTGTGAATTTGATCCTGTCATTATGATGTTAGCTGGTTATTTTGCTCGTTAGTTGATGCACTTTCTTCCTACCCTTGATGATCTTTACAATTTGGCATGTTTTTGCAGTAGCTGGTACTGGTTGTTCCTTTCCATGTTTAGTGCTTCCTTCAGGAGCTCTTTTAGGGCAGGCCTGGTGGTGACAAAATCTCACAGAATTTGCTTGTCTGTAAAGGATTTTATTTCTCCTTCACTTATGAAGCTTAGTTTGGCTGGATAAGAAATTCTGGGTTGAAAATTCTTGTTTTTAAGAATGTTGAATATTTTCCCCCACTCTCTTCTGGTTTGTAGAGTTTCTGCCGAGAGATCAGCTGTTAGTCTGATGGGCTTCCCTTTGTGGGTAACCCGACCTTTCTCTCTGGCTGCCCTTAACACTTTTTCCTTCATTTCAACTTTGGTGAATCTGACAATTATGTGTCTTGGAGTTGCTCTTCTTGAGGAGTACCTTTCTGGTGTTCTCTGTATTTCCTGAATTTGAATGTTGGCCTGCCTTGCTAGATTGGGGAAGTTCTACTGGATAATATCCTGCAGAGTGTTTTCCAGCTTGGGTCCATTCTCCCCATCACTTTCAGGTACACCAATCAGACGTAGATTTGGTCTTTTCACATAGTCCCATATTTCTTGGAGGCTTTGTTAATTTCTTTTTATTCTTTTTTCTCTAAACTCTCTTCTTGCTTCATTTCATTCATTTGATCTTCCATCAATGATACCCTTTCTTCCAGTTGATTAAATAGGCTACTGAGGCTTGTGCATTCATCATGTAGTTCTCGTGCCATGGTTTTCAGCTCCATCAGGGTCTTTAAGGACTTCTCTGCATTGGATATTCTAGTTAGCCATTCGTCTAATCTTTTTTCAAGGTTTTTAACTTCTTTGCCATGGGTTCAAACTTCCTCCTTTAGCTTGGAGTAGTTTGATCATCTGAAGCCTTCTTATCTCAACTCATCAAAGTCATTCTCCATCCAGCTTTGTTCCATTGCTGGTGAGGAGCTGTGTTCCTTTGGAGGAGGAGAGGTGCTCTGATTTTTAGATTTTTCAGTTTTTCTGCTGTTTTTTTCCTCATCTTTGTGGTTTTATCTACCTTTGGTTTTTCATGATGGTGACCTACAAATGGGGTTTTGGTGTGGATATTCTTTCTGTTTGTTAGTTTTCCTTCTAACAGTCAGGACCCTCAGCTGCAGGTCTGTTGGAGTTTGCTGGAGGTCCACTCCAGACCCTGTTTGCCTGGGTATCAGCAGTGGAGGCTGCAGAACAGTGGATATTGGTGAGCAGCAAATGTGGCTGCCTGATCATTCCTCTGAACGTTTTGTGTCAGAGGAGTACCCGGCCATGTGAGGTGTCAGTCTGCCACTACTGGGGGGTGCCTCCCATTTAGGCTACTTGGGGGTCAGGGACCCACTTGAGGAGGCAGTCTGTCCATTCTCAGATCTCAAGCTGCGTGCTGGGAGAACCACTACTCTCTTCAAAGCTGTCAGACAGGGACTTTGAAGTCTGCAGAGGTTTCTGCTCTCTTTTGTTTGGCTATGCCTTGTCCCCAGAGGTGGAGTCTATAAAGGCAGGTAGGCCTCCTTGAGCTGCAGTGGGCTCCACCCAGTTCGAGTTTCCAGCTGCTTTGTTTACCTACTCAAGCCTGAGCAATGGCGAGTGCCCCTCCCCTAGCCTCACTGCCACCTAGCAGTTTGATCTCAGACTACTGTGCTAGCAATGAGCAAGGCTCCATGGGCATAGGACCCTCTGAGCCAGGCACACAATATAATCTCCTGGTGTGCCCTTTGCTAAGACTGTCGGAAAAGTGCAGTATTAGGGTGGGAGTGACCCGATTTTCCAGGTGCCATCCATCACCCCTTTCCTTGGCTAGGAAAGGGAATTCCCTGACCCCTTGCCCTTCCCTGGTGAGGCGATGCCTCGCCCTGTTTTGGCTCAGGCTCGGTGTATGGCACCCCCTGTCTGACAATCCCCAGTGAGATGCACCCGGTACCTCAGTTGGAAATGCAGAAATCATTCATCTTCTGCATTGCTCGTGCTGGGAGCCATAGACTGGAGCTGTTCCTATTTGGCCATCTTGGCTCCACCCTCATATTTTCTCTTGAACGTACTCCAAACAGTCATTTGATGCTACCGCTTCACTAAAATACATTATGCCAAGGTCACCAATAATCATTCTGTTGCTGAATTCAAAATCGATTTTCAATCCTTACAATTTCACCTACTGACAACATTTAATAGAATATACTACATACTCTTTTTGGAAACACTTTCTTCCTTTGGCTTCTGGGACAGCACAGTCTCTTGCTTCTCCAATCTCTAAGACCACTCCTTAGGTCTTCTTTGCAGTTTCTCCCTCATTTCTTTACACTCTAAATGTTGGAGGGCCTCAGGACAAGGCCCTCAGTCCTCTTTCTTCTTTAATCTATCCAAATTAACTTCCTAAGAGATCTCACCCAGTCTCATACTTTTAAAAAGCGTCTGCATGTTGATAACTCCAAAATTCAAACCTCTGGTCTGGATCTCAACCACAAATTTCAAGTCCATATATCTCACTGCCCTCTAAAGAATTCTACTTTTAAGTCTCATAGAAATCTCAGCCTTAACATATCTCAAAAGAAACTCCTTACTCCCTCCTCAACATGTTCCTACAGGTTGCTATTACTTAGATCTTCCCCACCTAAGTAATAGCATCTCCATTTTTTATTATTCATGTCAGAAATCTTGGTCACCCATTAGTCTTCTTTTTTACTCACATCCCATATTCAACCTCAGCACCAAATCTTATTGACTCTTCTTCCAAAATACATCCAGAATCTGACCCTTTCTCAGAATTTCTATTGCAAAAATCCTGGTCCATAGGGCAATCATCTCTCATTGGGAATATTGTAATAGCCTCCACAATGGGCCTCCCTGCTTCTATCTATTCCTGTTATCAGAATGATTGTTCAAAAACGTCAATCAGATTATGGCATTCCTCTGCTCAGATCTGTCCAATGACTTCCTACCTGAGTCAGAGTAAAATCAACAGTTCCCTCCCAGCACTATCCTGACCTCACCTGCTATCACATTTGCCTACTCCCTGCTGGCTCTGCCTCAGCCATGTTGACCTCATTTCTAGTCCTCAAAAGTGCCAAGCGCTCCCCCACTTCAGGACCTTTGCACTTACTATTTCCTCTGCTTCAAATGGTCTTACCTCATGGAATCACAAGATTCCCTTCCTGACTTTCTTTATATTTATAATACACCTGTGCAATAATGTCTTCAAGGAACACTTTTTATAAAACAGCAACTCTCCCCCTGACTCTAACATTTTCTATTCCCCTTTCCCTGCTTTTTCTAAATTGCAAAATTGCCACATGATATATGTGTATATTTATTTGTCTGTCTACCCCCATCAGAATATAAGTTCTTGAGGGCCAGAACATTATCTGCTGTGTTCACTGGTGTACCCCCAGCACCTACAATAGTGCCAGTTGTACAATAGGCACCCAATAAATATTTATTGACTGACTACATGAATGAAAAGAAATGGAGGCCAGCTGTGGTGGCTCACACCCATAATCCCAGCACTTTGGGAGGCTGAGGTGGGCGGATCACCTGAGGTCAGAACTTCAACACCAGCATGACCAACATGACGAAACCCCATCTCTACTAAAAATACAAAATAAGCCGGTCATGGTGGTGCATGCCTGTAATCCCAGCTATTCGGGAGGCTGAGGCAGGAGGATCATTGAACCCAGGAGGCAGAGGTTGCAGTGAGCAGAAATCATGTCACTGCACTCCAGCCTGAGCAATAGAGTGAGACTCTGTCTCAAAAAAAAAAAAAAAAAAAGAAAGAAAGAAGGAAAAGAAAAGAAAAGAAAAAGAAAAGAGAAAGAAAAGGCTCCTAGCGCCTGAACACTCAGAAGAAAGCCAGTTCAGAAAGAAGCAGCTAGAGATTGATGTGAAAAACACATCATTCCTTTCTTGCTTATATAAACAAAACACATGCACATGCACTCATACATGCACAGACACATAGTACGCACTGAAATTCTCATAACCATATATAGACTCAATCACTATAAGGCCCTCTTATAAACTTCACAAACTTGCTAATTTAAGAACCTCTTCTTAGTTGGCAAACATTTTCTATAGTGAACACAAGATAGTAAATAGTTTAAGCTTTTTGATCTCTGTTCCATATGATCTCTGTTCAACTACTCAGCTCTGCCATTGTAGCACAAAAGAAGCTATAGAAAAAAAATCTTCTTAAGTAGAGTTAAATATTTGGACTAGATTCATACTCGAACTTTACCTGACTAGTAGTAGGGTCCAGATTCTACTGCCTTTGGAGAAAAATTTATACTAAAATTTTTCTTTAAGAACTTTTGGAGAAATATAAGTACTAAAGTTTAATTTGTGCATGTCCTTCTACTAGCAATTTCATCCTAGGTATGTAACCTAAGAAAATCCTCTCACATATGCACAGAAGAGATACACACAAAATGTTCACTGCAGCATTATTCATAATAGAGGAAAATTGGAAAAAATCTAAATATCCATCAATGGGAAAATGGATAAATGGACTATGGTAGATTCATACAGTAGAATATTAACTGGTACTTCAGAATTAGAGCCTGGATAAATCTCAAAAGCATTGATTGAGCATCTGAACAAGTTGCAGGATATATACCATATCATATACATAAACTTAAAATGTGTAACACAATACTATATATAACTTGTGGATATATAAGAAACATAGTAAGAGTATAAAATGATCAACACCAATTTCAGTAGAGTGACTGTCTCACCCCACTGTCTTCAGTGGGAGACACAGTAGGAAGGGAAAGAGGTAATGAGGGGCTTTGACTGTATCTGCAGTGACTTATTTCTTGAAAAGAACATATATCTGCAGGAATATGTCAAGGTTTTAAGATTTTACAAAACTTGGTGGTATTTTTCAGTATTTCTCTTTGCTTTCCTATGTGCTTGAAATATTTCATAATTAAAAAAATGACTCCATTCCCCCAAAATTGAGGATAACCAGATAAACAGTCCCCTCAACACAGTGTGGCATTAATGAGATTCAATTATGTTTACAAGGGCATTCCAGGTGGAAAAACTGTATTTGCATAACTGCTTATTTTGGGTAACACTGATAGAGTTAAATCATGAAGGATCTTGTAAGTCATAATAAGCAGTTGGAATTTTATCCTGTTGGCACTTGAAAGTCATTGAATTTTCAGGAAGGGAGTAACATGATTTGATTTAAATTTTATTGAGATCTCTCTTGGGGAGCAATTTGAGGAATAGAATAGAGGGTTAAAATGAATGGAAGTAGTAAGACCAGTTTGGAGGCTTTTACAATGATCCATGCAAGATATAAGGGAGTCCTGGAGTAAGTGGCACTGAAGATGGAGAAAAGTAGATGAATGTAAAAGTGTTTAAGAAGTAAAATCAGGCCAGGCACGGCGGTTCATGCCTGTAATCCCAGCACTTTGGGAGGCCAAGGTGGGTGGATCACTTGAGGTCAGGAGTTCAAGACCAGCCTGGCCAACATGGCCTTGTCTCTAGTAAAAATACAAAAATTAGACAGACATGGTGGCAAACACCTGTAATCCCAGCTACTTGGTAGGCTGAGGTGGGAGAATCACTTGAACTTGGGAGGCGAAGGTTGCAGTGAGCCGAGATTGAGCCACTGCACTCCAGCCTGGGTGACAGAGTGAGACTCAATCTCAAAAAAAAAAAAAAAAAAAAAGAAGAAGAAGGAAGAAGGAAGGAAGAAGGAGAAATAAACTCAACTGGAGTCTGATGTGCAAAGTGCAGAAGGAAGTCCAGGGTGCCTTTCAGTTTTCTAGCCTGTTGGAATGAGTGGATAATGATTGTGCTCACTGGAATGGGGAGTAAGGGGAAGGAAGTGCAGATTTGGGCATGGCAGGGAAGATAAAGAATTGATGCATGTTGAATTCCAGTCTCGATTTAGACATTCCTGAGGAGGATATCCATGAGGCATGTGGATGAGTAGATCTGCAGCTTTAGGTGAAAATTCATGAAGATAAATATTTGGTGTTCATCCATGTATAGCTGGCAGTTAAAACCATGAAAATGAAGGAGATGTCCTGGGATAGTATAGAGACTGGAGATTAAGGAGAGAAGAGAACCAAGGACAGAATCTGGAATCACCACCACATTGAATGAGACACAGCGAAGAGAATTCCACGTAGAAGGCTGAGCACAAATTGGTGGAAATGTGGCAGAAGAGTGCAGAGATCATGGAAGGCAGCTTCATGACATTAAGCCTGAGTGCTAGAATCACAGCACAAACCCTCTGCCCTCTCTTGTACTAAAAATGATTGAGAAATGCCTCCTCAATCTGAAGGCTAATTTCTCCACCTGAGCTTTAAATAACTTCAAAAGTGAATGTGTAAACCTATGTAGAATATTGATCTGCTGCCAAGAAAGTCTTAAGGGGATCAATTTCCATATCCTAAAATTCCATATGAACCCTCCTAAAACTGACCTACACACTTTGGGTTCAGGCACTGAAAAAATTCTCCTTTCTCACTTCTCCATTTGCAGTCACCATCTTTCCCCTTCACAAAAGAAAGGCCTTCTCCTCATCTATCCCTAATGGTAATCAGATAAATTTCCTTAGAATATAAAAACCTCCAACAGGTCAAAGAAGCACATCAAGATTTTAGCCTTGAGCAAAGTACTCTTGAATTGATTGAGGCACCAAAAACATATGATGAACCTACGTTTTTCCCTTACACATTTCTGTTAAGGGCACAGCCTGGCTCTAGAAGCCTATGTTCTGTATCCATCTCCTTTGTGACCACTTTCGCTCCTTTTCATCTCACCTCTTATTCCCATGTCCAGTTCTTCAAAGGCTTTGACCAACTTCATGCAGGTACAACCTAGAAGCTTCTGGCTTCAGTTTCTCTGATGTGGATACCAGTGGGAACTCACACAAATGCAACCCAACTGTGTGGGAAGTTACTCTGTAGAGTAATCCTTGAACCATGGCAGTAGGTAGATAAAGGCTTCCCCCTCTGTTCACCAAGAGACAATCCTGAGACACATTTCATTAGGATTCTCTGATGATCCACTGTTATCCAGCAGCCAATCTCCTATAATAGTAGCCAGCTGAATAAAGCTTCCTTTATTGGCTCTCCTGCTTCCTCCTTCACTCACCTGTGTCACTCCTCCCCGTATGCAAGCATTTGTTTTAGGCTCTGCTATGGGAGAACCCAGGAAAAGAGAGTTAAGATGTTCTGAATTCAGATATTTTGTAGGATGGGGCAGAAGAAATGAGGGTGATGTCATTTACCAACTTCCCCTCTTCCATCTCTGGACTACTACCAAGGAACACATCACGTTAAGGAGAATGCTATGAGAGCAAAGCAATGAGAGAGAATACAGGAAAATGCGGAAGTTTCAGTGCCTTATTTTACCAAGCAACAAACTCAAGGCAAGGCTCTGTGGAGTACCCTTCTATTTGCTCGAGAATAGACTATTTGAGATATGCGGTAGGCATTTCGGGAAATCCAGTCGAGTATGAGGTTCAACCCTCTGCAATTTTTTTTTTTTTTTTTTAATGAAAAGAGCGTGAGAAGAACTCAATTCAGCTGCGGCTTCATCGAGGACATAGGTGTATGTGTTCATGATTTCAAGGATGAGGTGAAAAAGCTCCTCAGTCAGCCAGTGTTACAGCTTCAAATAAAAGGAACACATATTGAAGGTAAGTTAGCATTTTATATTAAACATTTATTCAGACATGTAAAAGAAACAATTTTATTAACTCATTACTAAAATATTTAAGCAACGAAACCTCCTGCTTGTTGCCTCTTGTCACTCACTTCTCTGCTCATTCATTTCTATTATGTGTTTATTAGATTTAGGTTAACTTAATAGAAATATGTTATTGATTTTATTATACATAGTTTAAAATTGTCAATTCACTTCTTGTAAGTTCTACATTTACTGGTGGCCCTATACCTTCTTTTTTTTTTTTTTTTTGTCTTTCATTTGTTTCTTGCTATAAATTTCCACAAAGCAGTTAAAATGTATCTTTAAAGCAAAACATTTCCTTGTGTATGGAAATAGGATAAAATGTTTCCAGAGCAATTAGGATATAATGCCTTGAAGTTTAGAAAACTCACACTATTAGTGTTTTTTCTCCCTCTCCGAAGCAGATACGCTGTTCAGTTCTTTCAAATGTGTGAGCAGTTGTCTTAAACTATAAAATGGAACTACCAATCTAGCTATGTATAAAAATACTCAAGAACGTGACTCTTTCTAACCTCACATCTTTCCAAGGTACTTTGAGATTACCTGGAAAATTGTAATTTAGATGAATATGTAGGTCTGGATTCACAGTCAATGGGAAAAGTCCTAAAATGCACAATTTCCAGGGTTTCTTTTCTTTTTTTTTTTTTTTTTTTGGCGGGGAGTGGTTTTACTCAATGGCCATCTAGTGTTAGCTCCATAAACAAGTTGCCTCTAAGTGAAAGTATAGTTGGTATAAGGGGCTTTCATCTCAGGAGAGAGGATTGCTTGAGCCTGGGAGGTCAAGCTTGCCGTGAGCCATGATCCCACCACTGCATTCCAGCCTGAGCAACCCTATTTAAAAAAAAAAAAAAAAAAGGCATTGAAAAGCCTTGATAAAGCCTTCTTGATGTATTTCCCAGGAAATGAGAAAGTTATTCTAAGGGCCAGGTTAAAGAATCCTTTTAAGTCAGCACTTTTCTGTTTTTTGTCTTCAACAAAATTAAAGGGAGGTATAACAGTGGTCAATAGCTAGATTTTTAAATATAATTTTTGATAACATATCACTATGAATTTGAGTGTATGACTTGGATGAATTTCTAAGAATTGAGTGATGTTATAAAAATTATATTCTTTATTTACTATGTAAATAAATATTTCTCATTTACTATATAAAAAAATAGTTAACGCTGAATCCTGTCTCATTCTATCAGTAAGTCCTATTTATCCATGGATACATTATTTAAGTAGACAAAAAGAAAACTATCTGACAAGGCAATGTCTTGTCATAAAATTTCAATTTCTAGGTTTGATAATTATTAATAACATTTATATTAATAACCTACTATAACTTACACTAAAACATGCAGTCTTTGAGAAAATATTATTTTCATTCATATACATATTTTTATTGCAGAGAAGTTTGTAGAATGATATATATTTAAGCATAAAATAATTCATTGGAATAAAATTCTGAGGAAAAATGAAATAAAAATATGATTTCAAGAAGAAAAGATAACAATGGAGATTTTTCAGCTATTTAAAGAACTCCAATATATATTGATATTTTTAACAGATGATGGTAAATGTCAAATTTTTTATAACATTTAATTTCCCTATTTACATTTAAAGAGCAATGTTACAGTTTTGGGATTGTTTTGCCCACCCACCCCCCCACTATTTATTTTTTTAATTGACAAAAATATTGCATATATTTGTGTTCAATCTAAGGTTCTGAAATGTGTATATGTCATAGGGTAAATAAATATAACATATGCATTACCTCACATATCCTTTTTTGTGGTGGAAATATTTAAAATCTCAGTGATTTTTGAGAATATAATGTGTTCATATTAACTGTAGTCACCAGGTTTTACATCAGGTAGATCTCCTGAATTTACTCCTCTTCACTGAAATTTTGTGTCCTCTGACCAACATCTCCCTAACTTCCTCCACCCCAGCCCCGGTAACCACCATTCTGCTCTCTGTTTCTATGAGTTCAACTTTTTTAGATTCCACATATAAGTGAGGTCATGCAGTATTTGTCTTTTTATGCCTGGCTTATTTAATTTAATATAATGACCTCCAGTTCCATTAATGTTTCTGCAAATGACAGAATTTCCTTCTTTTTTATGACTGAATAGTATTCCATTGTGTATATATATGATATTTTTTAAATCCATTCATCCATTAATGAACACTTAGGCTGATTCCATATCTTAGTTATTGTGAATAATGGTGCAATGAATATGAGAGTGCTGATCTCTTCAGCATACTGATTTCATGTCCTCTGAATATGTATCCAGTAGTGTGATAGCTGGATCATATGGTAGTTACATATGTATATTGTTTTTGAGGAACCACCATGCTGTTTTTCATAATGACTCTAACTAATTTACATTCCCACCAAGTGTACAAGAATTCCCGTTAATCTGCATTCTTGCCAACATTTATCTTTTTTCTTTTTAATAATACCTACTCTAATATTTGTAAAGTGATCATTGCGGTTTTAATTTGCATTTTATAATTGATTAGTAATGTTCAGCATTTTTTCATGTACCTATTTACTGTATTTGGTCTTTTGAGAAATGTCTGTTCAAGTACTTTGCCCATTTTAAAATCAGATTGTTTTCCTGCTATTGAATTGTTAGAGTTACTTATATATTTTGGATATTAACCCCTTCTCATGTGTCAAATATTTTCTCTCATTTGCTAGGTGGTCTCTTCACATGTTGAATATTTCCTTGGCTGTGTAGACGTTTTTTAGTTTGATGTAATGCCATTTGTCTAACTGTGCTTTTGTTACCTGTGCCTTTGGAGTCTGTAAAAAAAAATCATCACCAAGACCAATGTCATGAAGATTTTGTCTATGATTTCTTGTAGTTTTATAATTTCTGGGTTTACATTCAATTCCTTAATCTATTTTGAGTTGATTTTTCCCTGAGCTATATATTTTTTAAATAATTTTATATTTTATTTTAGATTCGGGGGTATATGTGCAGGTTTGTTACCTGGGTATATTGTGTGATGCTGAGGTTTGGGGTATGAATGATCTTTTCACCCAGATACTGAGAATAGTACCCAATAGATAGTTTTTCAGCCCTTGACAACTCCTTCCATCTCTCCACTAGAAATCCCCCATGTCTATTGTTGCCATCTTTATATCCATAATTACCAAGTGTTTAGCTCCCATTTATAAGTGACAATATGTGGTATTTGGTTTTCTGTTCCTGTGTTAATTCACTTAGGATAATGGCCTCCAGCTGTATCCACATTGCTGCACAGAACATGATTTCATTTTTTATGGCTGCATGGTATTCCATGGTATATATGTATGACATTTTTTTTTTGTCCAATCCACTGTGGATGGGCATCTAGGTTGATTCCATGAACATAAGAGTATGTGTGTCTTTTTGGTAGAATGATTTATTTTCTTTTGGATATAAACCTGGGTGGAATGGTAGTTGTTTTTAGTTCTTTGAGAAATGTCCAAACTGCTTTCTGCGGTGGCTGAACTAATTTATATTTCCACCAACAATGTATAAACATTTTATTTTCTCCATAGCCTTGCCCAGAATCTGTTGTTTTTTCACTTTTTAATAATAGCCATTGTAACTGGTGTGAAAAAATATCTCATTGTGGTTTCAATTTGCATTTCTCTCTGATGTTTAGTGATGAGCATTTTTTCATATGTCTGCTGGCCACTTGTATGTCTTCTTTTGAGAAGTGTCCATGTCTTTTGCCTACATATTGTTCTGAGATGGAGTTTTGCTCTTGTTGCTTTTTCAACAGTTTAAGTTCTCTATGGATTCTGGATATTAGACTTTGTCATATGCATAGTTTGCAAATATTTTCTTTCATTCTGTAGGTTGTCTATTTACTGTTGAGAGTTTTCTTTTGCTATTCAGAAGCCTTTTAGTTTAATTAGGTTCAACTTATCAATTTTTGGTTTTGTTGGAATTGCTTTTGAGGACTTAGTCACTAATTCTATCCCAAGGCTCATATATAAAATGGTATTCCTAGATTTTCTGCTAGGGTCCTTATACTTTGAGGCCTTACATTTAAATATTTAATCCTTCTTGGGTTAATTTTTGTATATAGTGAGAGGTAGGAGTCCAGTTTTATTCATCTCTGCACAGAATGGATGGGGTGACTTGGGTTGCCACCCAGTTGAGCAGGTGCTCCAAATGCCTGATGATCTGCCTCAGTATGAAGCACAAAGGCCTCCCCTGCACCAGGATCTTTGTGCAGGAAGGGCAGCATGGCTGAAGCTGCTAGTTCTTTTGAACAAGTGCTTCAAATGCCTGGCAATTTGGATGATGTCCAAAATGTTTAGGTGTGGAGTAGAGAGGGCCCTACTGCACCATGATCTACACACAAGAAGATCCACCTGCTGATCCAGGTGAAGGAGTACTTCAAATGTCTAGAGATTTACCTGGGGGGTGGAGCACACCAGATTCTAATATGGTTTGGGTCTGTGTTCCCACCCAAATCTCAAGTCGAACTGTAATCCTCAATATTGGAGGTGGAGCTTGGTGGGAGGTAAGTAAATCTTGAAGGCATATTTCCCATTTGGTGCTCTTCTCATGACAGTGAGTGAGTTATCTCGAGATTTGGTTGTTTAAAAGTGTGCGACACCTCCCCTCTCTCTCTCTTCCTCCTGCTTCAGCCATGTAAAACATGCCTGCCTCCCCTTCACCTTCCACTATGATTGTAAGTTTACCAAGGCCTTCCCAGCAACGTTTCCTCTACAGCCTGCAGAACTGTGAATCAATTAAACCTCTTTCTTTGTAAATTACCCAGTCTCAGGTATTTCTTTATAGCAATGCAAGAACAGATTAATATAGAAAATTGGTACCAGGAATGGGGCATTGCTATAAAGATACCTGAAAATGTGGTGGAAGTGGCTTTGGAACTGGGTAATGGGCAGAAGTTTGAACAGTTCAAAGGGCTCAGAAGAAGACAGGAAGATGAGGGAAAGTTTGGAATTCCTAGAGATTTGCTGAATGGTTGTGACCAAAATGCAGATAGTGATATGGATGGTGAAGTCTAGGATGAGGAGGTCTCAGATGGAAATGAGAAACTTATTGGGAACTGGAGTAAAGGTCACTCTTGATATGCTTTAGCAGAGATTGGTGGCATTGTGCCCCAGCTCTAGGGATCTGTAGAATTTTGAACTTGAGAGAGATGATTTAGAGTACCTGGTGGAAGACATTTCTAAGCAGCAAAGTGTTCAAGGTAAACCTGAACTGCTAAATCCTGGCTGCTTCTAAAAGCCTATGCTCATATGCATGAGCAAAGAAATGATCTGAAACTGGAACTTATATGTAAAAGGGAAGCAGATCATAAATGTTTGAAAACCTTGCAGCCTGGCCATGCAGTAGAAAAGAAAAACCCATTTTCTGGGAAGAAATTCAAGCCAGCTGAAGAAATTTGCATAACTAAAAGGAAGGCAAGAACTAGTAGCCAAGACAATGGGGAAAAAAAGCCCTTGAAGACACATCAGAGACCTCACAGCAGCCCCTCCAATCACGGGCCCCAAAGCCTAAGGAGGAAGAATGGTTTCATGGGCCAGACACAGGGCCCTGCTTTCCTGTGCAGCCTCAAAACACTGCTCCCTGCATCCTGGCTGCTCCAGTTCCAGCTGTGGCTCAAAGGATCCTAGGTACATCTCAGGCTGCTGCTTCTGAGGATTCAAGCCACAAACCTTAGCAGCTTCTATGTGGTGTTAAGCCTGCAGCTGCACAGACTGTAAAAGTTGAGGTTTGGGAGCCTCTGCCTAGATTTCAGAAGATGTATGGAAAAGCCTGGAACACCAAGCAGAAGCCTCCACACAGAGTCCCCAATGGGACACTGCCTACTGGACCTGTGGGAAGAGGGCTAGATACACTGACAGCTTGTACCCTGCACCTGGAAAAGACACAGGCACTAAATGCCACCCCTGAAAGCAGCCTCAGGGACTGTACCCTGTAGAGCCTCAGGTGGAGCTGCCCAAGGCCTTGGGAGCCTACCCTTCACACCAGTGTGCCCTGAGTGTGAGACATAGAGTCGAAAGAGATTATTTTGGAGCTTTAAGATTTAATAACTGCCCTGCTGGGTTTCAGATTTGCATAGTGCCTGTAGCCCTTTCTTCTCCCCAGTTTCTCCCATCTGGAAAGGGAGTATTTACCCAATGCCTGTACCCCCATTGTATCCATGAAGTAACTAATTTGTTTTTGATTTTACAGGCTCATAGGTGGAAGGGACTAGCCTTGTATTAGATGAGGCTTTGGACTTTGGACTTTTGAGTTAATGCTGGAATGAGTTAAGGCTTTGGGGTAGCTTTTGGAAGGCATTATTGTATTTTGAAATGTGAGAAGGACATGGGATATTGGAGGGGCTAGGGATGGAATAATATGGTTTGGGTCTGTGTCTCCACCCAAATCACATGTCAAATTATAATCCCAACATTGGAGTAGGCACCTGGTGGGAGGTGATTGGATTATGAGAACATATTTCCCCTTTGGTGCTGTACTCATGATAGTAAGTTCTCACGAGATCTGTTTGCTTAAAACTGTGTAACGCCTCTCCTCCCTTCCTTCCTCCTGCTCCAGTCATGTAATACAGACCTGCTTCCTCTTTGCCTTCTGCTATGATTGTAAGTTTTCTGAGGCCTTCCCAGCCATGTTTTCTGTACAGCTTGCAGAACTGTGAGCCAATTAAATCTCTTTTCTTCATGAGTTACCAAGTTGGCTGGGTATTTTATAAAGTATTTCTTTATAGCAGTGTAAGAACAGACTAATACAGGGTCCCACTGCACCACGATCTCAGGGAAGCAGGCTGGGCACCCAGCAATGACACACATGACCAGTTTCGATCTCCATGCTGGCTATAGCTGCAGGTCTCATCACCGGGGAGAAACTGTAGCCATAGCAGCTGTCCTCCCACCCCAGGACTGTGACCAGCGAGAACACAATTCCAGCACCTTCTGCTGAGATGCTTTCCACATTTCTGGCTGTGGAGGCACCTACCTGGCTCCAGAACAAACACCTCAGTCTTTGGCCTGAGACTATAATGCCTGTATGGCCATGCTGCCAGGTTGCCAAAGAATGGTTAACTTTGTGTGTACTCAGATTAAAAATGGCATCTTGGGCCAGGTGTGGTGGATTATGCCTGTAACCCCAGCACTTTGGGAGGCCGAGTGGGGGCAGATCAGTTGTGAACTAAAGTTTGAGACAAGACTGGCTAACATGGTGAAACCCTGTCTCTACGAAAAAATACAAGAATTAGCCAGGCGTGGTGGTGGGCACCTGTAGTCCCAGTTACTCAGGAGGCTGAGGCAGGAGAATCACTTGAACCTGGGAGGTAGAGGTTGCAGTGAGCCAAGATCACACCATTGTACTCCAGCCCAGGCATCAGAGCAAGACTAAATCTTATTAAAAAAAAAAAAAAAAACAAATGACATTTTGCTCTTAGTCACAGATACAGGAAAATGCCTGCAGCTTTTCCAAGTCTTTCTCTCTCAGCACTTCCAAGCCTCTGGGTTGCTTGGATTCTCAATGGAAGGGTGAGTCACAGAGAGAGGCACTCTTTATCTCTCACTTAATGGAAATTTACTCACTTTTATCAGCTGGACACCATCACAGGAGCTGTTTGCCCACATTCTCCTCCCCTGGGTCTGTAGTGTTCTACACAATTCCAGTGGATTCCCATTTTCCTTATCAAAAATGCAGTTATTTTTCACAGAGTTGTTCTTTATGCACTACCTTGTTATTTACAAGTGGTTGAGGCTCACTAAAAGCCTCATCTCTCATCTTGGAGGAAAACATATATGGTATGAGATTGGGCCTGTAATATTTTTTTCTAATTTAATTATTCTGCATGTGGAAATACAGTTTTTCTAAGACCATTCATTGAAAATATTATGTTTCCTTATTGTTTCTTCTTGGCACCTTTATTAAAAATCCATTGACTGTAAACGTGTAGTTATATTTCTGTTCTTGCTGTTGTGTTCCATTGGTCTATGTATCTGTTTTTATGCCAGTGCCATGTTGTTTTGATTACTGTGGCTTTGTGGTATAGTCTCAAGTCAGATAGTATAGTACAATACGTCAAGCTTTGTTCTTTTTGCTCAACATTACTTTGATTATTAGGAGTCTTTTCTGGTTTCATATAAATTTTAGGATTTATTTCTATTTCTGTGAAAAATGTTATTGGAATTGTGATAGCAATTGCATTCACTGTAGGTCACTTTGGATAGTATGAATGTTTTAACAATATTCTTCAATTCCATGAATATGGGATATCTTTTCATTTATTTATGTATTCATCAATTTATTTCACCAGTATTTTAGAGTTTTCAGTATACATGTCTTTCACCTCCGTGGGTAAATTTATTTCTATGTATTTTATTCTTGGTAGCTATCACAAATAGGATTTTTTTCATTTTCCTTTTTTTTTTTTTTGGATTGATCATTCCTAATGTATAGAAATGCTACTGATTCTTTGTATGTTGATTTTTCTATTCTGCAACTTTACTGAATTTATTCTAACTAATTAGTTTTTAAGGGAATTCTTAGTGTTCTCTCTATATAAGATCATCTCACTGGCAAACGGATCCAATTTACCTTCTTTTTTTCCAATTTGAATTCTTTTATTTCTTTCTCTTGTCTAATTTCTCTGGCTAGAAGTTCAATAGTATGTTGAAAAGAGATGATGAGAGGGATCCTTGTCTTGTTCCTGATCTTAAAGGAAAAGCTTTCAACTTTCCACCAATGAGTATAATGTTTTCAATGGGCTTGTCAAATGTGGTCTTTATTGTGTTGAGGTGCATTCCTTCTAAACTTGTTAAAAGTTTTTTGTTAACAGTTACCATGAAAATATGTTGAATTTTTTCAAATGCTTTTGCTGCATCTATTATATTTTGTAGATTGTATTTTTTGACCTGCATTCTATTCTGTTAATGTGATGTGTAATATTTTTTTTCTTTTTTTATTATACTTTATTATAAAGTATATTATTTCTTTTTTTATTATACTTTTTTTTCTTTTTTTTACACTTTAAGTTCTGGGGTACATGTGCAGAGTGTTCAGTTTTGTTACACAGGTATACATGTCCCACAGTGGTTTGCTGCAACCATCAACCCATCATCTACATTAGGTGTTTCTCCTAATGCTATCCCTCCCCTTGCCTGCCATCCCCTGACAGGCCCCAGTGTGAGATGTTCCCCTCCTTGTGCACATGTGTTCTCATTGTTCAACTCCCACTTATGAGTGAGAACAAGTGGTGTTTGGTTTTCTATGCCTGTGTTAGTTTGCTGAGAATGATAGTTTCCAGCTCCATCCATGTTCCTGTAAAAAACATGAACTCATTCTTTTTTATGGCTGCTTAGTATTCCATGGTGTATATATGCCACGTTTTCTTTATCCAGTATAACATTGATGGGCATTTGGGTTGGTTCCACGTCTTTGCTATTGTGAATATTTCTACATTAAACATAACTGTGCATGTGTCTTTATAGTAGCATGATTTATAATCATTTGGGTATATACCCAGTAATGAGATTGCTGGGTCAAATGGTATTTCTAGTTCTAGATCATTGAGGAATTGCCACACTGTCTTCCACAATGGTTGAACTAATTTACACTCCCACCAACAGTGTAAAAGCATTCCTATTTCTCCACATCCTCTCCAGCATCTGTTGTTTCCTGACTTTTTAATGATCACCATTCTAACTGGCATGAGATGGTATCTCATTGTGGTTTTGATTTGCATTTCTCTAATGACCAGTGATGATGAGCATTTTTTCATAGGTTTGTTAGTTGCATAACTCTCTTGAAGTGTCTGTTCATATCCTTTGCCTAATTTTTGATGGGGTTGTTTTTTTCTTGTAAATTTGTTTAAGTTCTTTGTAGATTCTGGATATTAGCCCTTTGTCAGATGGATGGATTGCAAAAATTTTCTCCCTTCTGTAGGTTGCCTGTTCACTCTGATGATAGTTTCTTTGCTGTGCAGAAGCTCTTTAGTTTAATTAGATCCCATTTGTCTATTTTGGCTATTGTTGCCATTGCTGCCATTGTTGCCAATTGGTGTTTTAGTCATGAAGTCTTTGCCCATGACTATGTCCTAAAACGTATTGCCTAGGTTTTCTTCTAGGGTTTTTATGGCTTTAGGTGTTACATTGAAGTCTTTAATCCATCTTGAGTTAATTTTGTAAAGTTTTAGCTTTCTGCATACAGGTAGCCAGTTTTCCCAACACCATTTATTAAATAGGGAATCCTTTCCCCATTGCTTGTTTTTGTCAGGTTTGTCAAAGATCAGATGGTTGTAGATGTGTGGCGTTATTTCTGAGGCCTCTATTCTGTTCCATAGGTCTCTTTTTGTTCAAGTACCATGCTGTTTTGGTTACTGTAGCATTGTAGTATAGTTTGAAGTCAGGTAGCATGATGTCTCCAGCTTTGTTCTTTTTGCTTAGGATTGTCTTGGTTATGTGGGCTCTTTTTTGGCTCCATATGAAATTTAAAGTAGTTTTTTCTAGTTCTGTTTAGAAAGTCAGTGGTAGCTTGATGGGGATAGCATTGAATCTATAAATTACTTTGGACAGCGTGGCCATTTTCATGATATTGATTCTTCCTATCCATGAGCATGTAATGTTTTTCCATTTGTTTGTGTCCTCTTATTTCCTTGAGCAGTAGTTTGTAGTTCTCCTGGATAAGGTCCTTCACATCCCTTGTAAGTTGTACTCCTAGGTATTTTATTCTCTTTGTAGCAATTGTGAATGGGAGTTCACTCATGATTTGGCCTTCTGTTTATCTATTATTGGCGTATAGGAATGCTTGTGATTTTTTGCACATTGATTTTGTATCCTGAGACTTTGCTGAAGTTGCTTATCAGCTTAAGATTTTGGGCTGAGACAATGGGGTTTTCTAAATATACAGTCAGGTCATCTGCAAACAGAGACAATTTTACTTCATCTTTTCCAAATTGAATACCCTTTATTTCTTTATCTTGCCTCATTGCCCCAGCCAGAACTTCCAATACTATGTTGAATAGGAGTGGTGAGAGAGGGCATCCTTGTCTTGTGCCGGTTTTCAAAGGGAATGTTTCCAGTTTTTGCCCATTCAGTATGATATCGGCTGTGGGTTGGTCATAAATGTCTCTTATTATTTTGAGATATGTTCCATCAATACCTAGTTTATTGAGACTTTCTAGCATGAATTGGTGTTGAACTTTATCGAAGGCCTTTTCTGCATCTATTGAGATAATCATGTGGTTTTTGTAGTTGGTTCTGTTTATGTGATGGATTATCTTTATTGATTTGTGTATGTTGAACCAGACTTGCATCCCAGGGATGAAGCCGACTTGATCATGGTGGATAAGCTTTTTGATGGGCTGCTGCATTCAGTTTGCCAGTATTTTCTTGAGGATTTTCACATTGATGTTCATCACTGATATTGGCATACAATTTTCTTTTTTTGTTGTGTCTCTGCCAGGTTTTGTTATCAGATGATGCTGGCCTCATAAAATGAGTTAGGGAGGATTCCCTCTTTTTCTATTGTTTGGAATAGTTTCAGAAGGAATGGTGCCAGCTCCTCTTTGTACCTCCGGTAGAATTCAGCTATGAATCCATCTGGTCCTGGACTTTTTTTTTGGTTGGTAGGTAATTAATTGCTGCCCCAATTTTCAGAACTTGTTATTGGTTTATTCAGGGATTTGACTTCTTCCTGGTATATTCTTGGGAGGGTGTATGTGTCCAGGAATGTACCCATTTTTTCTACATTTTCTAGTTTATTTGTGTAGAGGTGTTTATGTATTCTCTGATGGTTACCTTGTATTTTTGTGGGATCAGTGGTGATATCCCCTTTATTATTTTTTATTGCATCTATTTGATTCTTCTCTCTTTTCTTCTTAGTCTGGCTAGTAGTCTATCTAATTTGTTGATCTTTTCAAAAAACCAGCTCCTGGTTCATTGATTTTTTTGAAGGGGTTTTTGTGTCTCTATCTCCTTCAGTTCTGCTCTGATCTTAGTTATTTCTTGTCTTCTGCTAGCTTTTGAATGTGTTTGCTCTTGCTTCTCTAGTTCTTTCAATTTTAATGCTAGGCTGTCAATTTTAGATCTTTGCTGCTTTCTCTTGTGGGCATTCAATGCCATAAATTTCCCTCTGCACACTGCTTTAGCTGTGTCCCAGAGATTCTCGTATGTTGTGTCTTTGTTCTCATTGGTTTTGAAAAACATCTTTATTTCTGCCTTAATTTTGTTATTTACCCAATAGTCATTCAGGAGCAGGTTGTTCGGTTTCCATGTAGTTGTGTGGTTTTGAGTGAGTTTCTTAATCCTGAGTTCTAATTTAATTGCACTGTGGTCTGAGAGACTGTTTGTTATGATTTCCATTCTTTTGCATATGCTGAGGAGTGTTTTACTTCCAATTATGTGGTCAATTTTAGAGTAAGTGCAGTGTGGTGCTGAGAAGAATGTATATTCTGTTGAGTTGGGGTGGAGAGTTCTGTAGATGTCTGTTAGGTCCACTTGGTCCAGAGCTAAATTCAAGTCCTGGATATCCTTATTAATTTTCTGTCTCATTGATCTGTCTAATATTGACAGTGGGATGTTAAAGTCTCCCACTATTCTTGTGTAGGAGTCTAAGTCTTTTTGTAGGTCTCTAAGAACTTGCTTTATGAATCTGGTTGCTCCTGTATTGGGTGCATATATATTTAGGACAGTTAGCTCTTCTTGTTGCATTGATCACTCTACCATTATGTAATGCCCTTCTTGGGCTTTTTTTTTTATCTCTGTTGGTTTAAAGTCTGTTTTATCAGGCTTTTTTTTGCTTTCCATTCACTTGGTAAATATTGCTCCATCCCTTTATCTTGAGCCTATGTGTGTCTTTGCATATGAGATGGGTCTCCTGAATACAGCACACAGAGGAATCTTGACTGTTTATCCAATTTGCCAGTCTTTGTCTTTTAATTGGGGCATTTAGCCCCTTTACATTTCAGATTAATACTGTTATGTATCAATTTGATCCTGTCATCATGATGCTAGCTGGTTATTTTGCCCATTAGTTGATGTAGTTTCTTCATGGTGTTGATGGTCTTTACAATTTCGTATGTTTTTGCAGTGGCTGGTACCAGTTGTTCCTTTCCATGTTTAGTTCATCCTTCAGGAGCTCTTGTAAGGCAGTCCTGGTGGTGACAAAATCTCTCAGCATTTGCTTGTCTGTTAAAGATTTTATTTCTTCTTTGCTTATGAAGATTAGTTTGGCTGGGTTGAAAATCTGGGTTGAAAATTCTTTTCTTTAAGAATGTTGAATATTGCCCCCACTCTCTTCTTGATTGTAGGGTTGCTGCCGAGAGATCCACTGTAAGTCTAATGGGCTTCCCTTTGTGGGTAACCTGACCTTTCTCTCTGGCTGCCTTTACCATTTTTTCTTTCATTTCAACCTTGGTGAATCTGACAATTATGTGTCTTGGGGTTGCTTTTCTCAAGGAGTATCTTTGTGGTGTTCTCTGTATTTCCTGAATTTGAATGTTGGCCTGCCTTACTAGGTTGGGGAAGTTCTCCTGGATAATATCCTGAAGTGTGTTTTCCAACTTGGTTCCATTCTCCCCATCACTTTCAGGAACACCAATCAAACGTAGATTTGGTCTTTTCACAAAGACCTTATTTCTTGGAGGCTCTGTTCATTTCTTTTCACTCTTTTTTTCTCTAATGCTGTCTTCTCACTTTGTTTCATTGAGTTGATCTTCACTCTCTGATATCCTTTCTTCCACTTGATCAATTCACCTATTGATACTTGTGTATGCTTCACGAAGTTCTCATGCTGTGTTTTTCAGCTCCATCAGGTCATTTATGTTCTTATCTAAACTGGTTATTCTAGTTAGCAATTCCTCTAACCTTTTTTTCAAGGTGCTTAGCTTCCTTGCTTTGGGTTAGAACATGCTCCTTTAGCTCAGAGGAGGTTGTTATTACCCACCTTCTGAAGCCTACTTCTGGCAATTTGTCAAACTCATTCTCCATCCAGTTTTGTTCCCTTGCTGGCAAGTTGTGATCCTTTGGAGGAGAAAAGGCATTCTGGTTTTTGGAATTTTCAGCTTTTTTGCACTGGTTTCTCCGCATCTTCATGGATTTACCTATCTTTGGTCTTTCCTATTGGTGACCTTTGGATGGGGTCTCTGAATGGACATCCTTTTTGTTGATGTTGATGTTACTATTCCCTTCTGTTAGTTTTCCTTCTAACAGTCAGGCCCCTCTGCTGCAGGTCTGCTGGAGTTTGCTGGGGGTCCATTTCAGACCCTGTTTGCCTACGTATCACCAGCAGAGCCTGAAGAACAACAAAGATTGCTGGCTGTTCCTTCCTCTGGAAGCTTCATCCCAGAGGGGCACCTGCTAGATGCCAGCCAGAAGTCTCCTGTATATGGGGTCTTTTGGTCCCTACTAGGAGGTGTCTCCCAGTCAGGATACACAGGGGTCAGGGACTCACTTGAGGACACAGTCTGTTCCTTATCAGAGCTTGAACACTGTGCTGGGAGATCCACTGCTCTCTTCAGAGCTGTCAGGCAGGGATGTTTAAGTCTGCTGAAGCTGTGCCCACAGCTGCTCCTTCCCCCATGTGCTCTGTCCTAGGGAGATGGGGGTTTTATCTATAAGTCCCTGACTGGGGCTGCTGCCTTTTTTTCAGAGATGCCCTGCCTAGAGAGGAGGAATCTAGAGAGGCAGTTGGTCTTGCTGAGCTGCGGTGGTCTCCACCCAGTTCAAACTTCCCAGCAGCTTTGTTTACATTGTGAGGGTAAAACAGCCTACTCAAGCTTCAGCATTGGCAGGTGCCCCTCCCCCCACCAAGCTTAAGCATCCCAGTTCCACCTCAGACTGCTGTGCTAGCAGCAAGAATTTCAAGCCAGTGGATCTTAGCTTGCTAGGCTCTGTGAGGGTGGTACCCACCAAGCCAGGCACCAGAGGGAATCTCCTGGTCTGCTGGTTGTGGAGACCAATGGAAAAGCACAGTATCTGGGCCAGATTGTACCATTCCTCCTGATACAGTCTCTCACAAGTTCCTTTGACTAGGGAAGGGAAATCCCCCAACCCCTTGAGCTTCCCGGATGAGGCCACACCCCACCCTGCTTCAGCTTGCCCTCCGTGGGCTGCACCCACTGTCCCACCAGTCCCAGTGAGATCAACTGTGTATCTCAGTTGGAAATGCAGAAATCACCCACCTTCTGCATCAATCTCGCTGGGAGCTACAGACCTGAACTGTTCCTATTTGACCATCTTGACAGCTCTCCTGATGTACCATATTTATTCACATTCATGTTCATCAGAGATATTGACCTGTAATTTTATTGTTTGTAGTATCCTTGTCTGGCCTTACTATCAGGGTAATGTTGGCCTTGTAAAAAGTTTGGAAATATTTCCTCTTCTTCAATATTTTGGAAGAGTTTGAGAAGGATTGGAATTAGGTTTTCTTCAAGTGATTGTCAGAATTCAGTTAGGAATCCATCAAGGTATGGGTTTTTCATTGAGGGAACACTTTATATTACTGATTCAGTCTTACTTGTTATTGATGTGTTCAGATTTTCTATTTCATAGTAGGTTGAATGTGTGTAAGAATTTATTCATTCGTTTCAGGCTATCTAATCTGTTGAGATATAATTATACAGAGTAGTCTTTTATAATTTTTTGTATTTCTGTGATATCAGTTGTGATCTCTCCCTCTTACTCATTTTGAGTCCTCAGGTTTTTTTTCTTAATCTAGCTAAAGATTTGTCAATTTTGCTTCTCTTTTTAACCCTTTGCTCAATTAGGAAAAAAAAGTACCACTTGCTACCAGCACTCATTTAATTTTACATAAGTACCCTCTTTGAGGCTGAAGTAAATGTGACTAATTTTCAATGTGAAAATGAAATACAAAAACTTTTCTTGGAGTTATTTCTAAACAGAACTAACATCAGAATCTTCTGAATCATCAGAATCATCTATTTTAGAAAAATCTGATTCATCAAATAAAAACTGAAAATGACACTAACATCATGTGTAGTAATGCTATCTTTTCTAGGATTAGGTATTTTCAGCAATTGAGAATTACCATATTTTGTAAATGGAAAATCACTGCTAAAATAGGATGATGTCTTTTGTTTCCAAAGTTGATATAGTAGAGTAATGCAAAAATAACAATAAAAGCAAGATATGTCATGGCAGTTATTTCTGGATAAACTCTGCAGCTGCAAGTGCCACTGGCAAATTTTCTTGAGGCAGATGGGGAAAGGATTAAAAAATTAGCTTTTATCTTCCTTGATCTTTTCTATTGTTTTTCTAGTCTCTATTTTATTTATTTCTGCTCTGATCATTATTTCCTTCCTTTGACTAATTTTGGGGCTTAGTTTTTTCTCCTTTTTCTAGTTCCTTGAGGGGTAGTGTAGTTTTTTGGAGATTTTTCTTCTTTTTTGAGGTAGGCATTCATTGCCATAGACTTCCCTTTCAGAACTGCTTTTGCTGTGTTTCAGAAGCTTTTATATATTGTTCATTTATTTTCACTTGTCTCAAGATGTTTTTTAATTTCCCTTTCAATTTCTTCTTTGACCCATTGGTTATTCAGGAGCATATTGATTAATTTTTGAATTTTCCAAAACTTCTGTTACTGATTTCTAATTTTATACCAGTGTGGTCAGAAAAGATGCCTGATACAATTTCAATCTTTAAATTTATTAAGACTTATTTTGTGGCCTACCATATGATCCATCTGATCTATCCTGGAGAATGTGCCATGCCAATTAAGAAGAATGTGTATTCTGCAGCTGTTGGATGCAGTGTTCTGTATATGTCTTTTAGGTCCATTTGGTCTATAGGGTCATTTACTTTCAATGTTTCTATATTAATGTCTTGTGGCTGGATAATCTATTCATTGCTGAAAGTGGGTTGTTGATGTCTGTTACTATTTTATAAAAATCTCTCTCCTCAGATCTATTAATATTTGCTTTATATATTTAGGTGTTCTGATGTTGGGTGTATATATATTTATAATTGTTATACCCTTTTCCTGAATTGACCCCTTTATCATTATATAATAACCTCCTTTGTTTCTTTTTACAGCTTTTAACTCTCTGTTTTATCTGATATGTGTATAACTACTCCTGCTCTCTTTTGGTTTATATTTGCATAGAATATCTTTTTCTATCCCTTTGCTTCAGTCTATGTGTGCACTTAAGTTTGAAGTGAGTCTCTTGTAAGTAGCATATAGTTGGGTCCTTTTTTTAATCTACTAAGTCACTCTGTGTCTTTTGATTGGATATGCCAGGTAATTATTGGCGGGTAAGGACTTACTATTCTCGTGTTCTTTAAACTGGAAGAAAGGGATGCTAATTAGTCACTTTAACCTTTCTTAAGACTGGTCTGGGGTGATGAACTCCCTCAGCTTTTGTCTGTCTGAGAAAGGCTTTTATCTTTCATTTCTGAAGGATAGCTTTGCCGGGTACAGTATTCTTGGTTGACAGGTTTTTTTTCTTTTTTTCTTAAGCACTCAGAATATATCATCCTCCTCTATCCTGGCTTGTAAGGCTTCTGTTGAGAAGTCTGTTGCTAGCTTTATTGGACCTCCTTTATATGTGACTTGCTTGTTTTCTCTTGCTGCTTTTGGGATCCTCTCTTTTGTCTTTGATATTTTACAATTCAATTTTAATATATCTTGGTGTGGTATTGGAATTGGATTAAATCCGATTGGACTTTTTTTTTTTTTGAGATGGAGTCTCTCTCTGTCACCCAGGCTGGAGTGCAATGGTGCGATCTCGGCTCAACTGCAAGCTCCGCCTCCCAGGTTCATGCCATTATCCTGCCTCAGCCTCCTGAGTAGCTGGAACTACAGGTGCCCACCACCACACCTGGCTAATTTTTTGTATTTTTAGTAGAGACGGGGTTTCACCACGTTAACCAGGATGGTCTTGATCTCCTGACCTCGTGATCCACCCACCATGGCCTCCCAAACTGCTGGGATTACAGGCGTGAGCCACCGCGCCCAGCCTGATTGGACATTTTTGACTTTCCTCTTCCTAGATATTTATATCTCCAAGTTGGAAATGTGTTCTGCTATTATTTCTTTAAATAAGTTTTCTAACCCTTTGTTTCTCTCTTCTCCTTCTTTAATTCCTGTAGCTCAAATATTTGTTCCTTCGATGCTGGTTTATAAACCTTGTAAGCCTTTTTTTATTCCTTCTTTTTCTTTTAGGTTTAGGTTTTAAACACAATATATCTATGCACTAAAATCATATCCTTTTCAACTATTTAAACTTATGTTGAAACATTTTTAGATATTTGCATGAAAACTTGAAGAGGTATGTGTTTGTTCAAAATTTCTTTGATGCTTGGGCAACATGGTAAAACCTCATCTCTACAAAAAAAAAAAAAAAAAAAAAAAAAAAAAAGCCAGACATGGTGGTGCACACCTGTAATTGCAGCTACTCAAGAGGCTAAGGTGGGAGGGTCGCTGGAGCAGATGTGGAGGTTGCAGCAAGCCATAATTGCACCACTGCATACCAGCCTGGGTGACAGAGCAAGACCCTGTCTCAAAAAATAAAAATTTTTTTGCATTATCTTAGCAAAAATATTTGAAGACCACTATATTTATTTCCTTTTGCTACTCTAACAAGTTGCCACGAACATAGTGACTTGAAACAATACATTTATTA
>NC_000003.12:91345173-91364131 GCF_000001405.40 Homo sapiens
TCTTCCACTTATAAGGATCAGTCTCACTTTTCAAAGTCACGTGATTAGCAGCCTTAATTCTATCTACAACTTTAATTCCCTTTTGCTATAACATAACCTAACACATTCACATGATCAGGGATTATAATGTGGACCTTTTTAGGGGGCCGTTTTTTTTTTCCTACTACAACCACTGGAAGTTGGTAGAGGCATAGAGGATGTTGAAGGTTTGATATTGCCTGTCGAGAAATGAAAGGGGGGACAGATGGAAGACAAGCAAAAGAATTATCAAAAGAAATGTCAAATACACCCAGGTGCAGTGGCTCATGCCTGTAATCCCAGGTCTTTGGGAGGCCAAGGAGACAGATCACCTGAGTTCAGGAGTTCAAGACCAGCCTGGCCAACATGATGAAAACCCCATCTCTACTACAAATACAAAAATTAGCCAGGCATGGTGGCACATGCTATAATCCTAGCTACTCGGGAGGCTGAAGCACGAGAATCACTTGAACCCAGGAGGAGGAGGCTGCAGTGAGCTGAGATCACACCACTGCAATCTAGCCTGGGTGACAGAGCAAGACACCATCTAAAAAAAAAGAAAAAAAAGAAAGAAAAGAAAGAAATGTCAAATGTAAGTAGCAATACATTCATAGCTTTTCATCTGTACACTTGAGAGAGTTTTTCAGTCTTGCCTTTCCTCCTAAAACCCATTCACCTGATGCTCAAATCAAATAATCAGATTGTTGAACTCTTAGTGCCTTTTTTAATGTCTTTAGAACTGTTCTTAAGCTCTGTTTGCATTTTTGCCTATCTCTGAAATTTTAAGATATTTTTTAACCATTCTCATATATGTTCTCTTATAGGACCATAATTAAACTTTTAAAGAATATTTTAATATTCAAAGGACATTTCTAATTTCTATTAAGCATTTATCAATTGTGTAATCTTGTGTAAATTATGGGACTATTTTAGGTTCTTAAAGTTGGGTTTTTTCTGTTTTCCTTTTGAACCCTTTAAACACATCTTACCCAATTTGTCTGAAGATATTAGCTATACGTAATTATAATTAATTATTATAAATCCTATAACATTTGATCTTGTCACAAATGTAAACTTAGTTGTGACACTAATTTTGGACACTGGAAGGCACACTCTGGAAATGTGTTCAATTGCTTTTAATGCTGGACCCTGATGAGGACCAAGGAAGACAATCAAGGATCTCAGTGTGTATTAAGTGTTCCCTCTGTGTGGAGGAGTGCTGTGATGATCTCTCTATGTCAGAGACCAAAGGGCAAGCTTTCACTGGAGGTCCTTTATGTTATGCTAATAAATGAGTATAGGGAGTGTTTATAAGAGAGGAGAGGGAACATGTCGCTGCCATGAATAAAACTGATAAACACCCCAAGCTCATGTACCACCCCACTCCCACAAAAAAAGTGTTTGGCCTAGTTTTTATTTCCATTTTAACCAAAAGAAAAACCATCAAACTGCTCTAGTGAAAACTTTTAGGTTTTTTTCCTACTGGATTCCATCACTTAAAAGAATCACAAAAATTTTTCCTTAAAACATTGTTAGGTACCTTCTAGTTCAACATCTCCCTCCACTCCCAATCTTATTTCATACCTCATTTACCCATGTGTTGGCATAAATACCCCTATTCAAAATTTCTATACATATACAAATGCATACATGAATATCCGATGTGAAAGTTACACAGGATGTTTATTATAGATTATTGGATTTCCTTTGTACTTTGCCTCCTTAAACCTTTAATGTAATGACCTTTCCTGAATAAGCATTAAGAAATACACATATATACACACACGTGCACACACACACACATATTAAATCCTTGTTCCTGAGATACCCAAATGCTAAGGGAGCAAGGAGTAGTGAGATGGAGAAGAGGCAAAACCAAACTAGAGAAAGCATATGTAAGAACCCAGGGGAGGCAAAACCAAACTAGAGAGGAAGAGGTGTCAGCCTGCTGTGACAGAGCCACAGTTTAGAAAAAAATACCATGGTCAAGTTTCCATATCCACTTGTTCCCATTTGGAGTAAGAGAGTCTTAGCTTGGTGGCCTCTGCCTGCCCACCTGTGGTTGCTGAGTGGCTGAGAAAGTACCATAGCAGAGGCAGGGCTGGACATAAAGAGCAATGGCCTGCCACTGGAGTGTGGGGGCATTCAGGTGCAAATTTCAGTTATGATAATAGCTTGTTGTGTTTCCTTGAGCATCGCTCAATCTTTTTTAGCTTCAATCTCTTTTTCTAGTAAACTAAGGTGACACTGGTGACCTCTATGAGGCCCTTCCACCTCTAGCACACTGTGACGACATGGGTTGAGCATCTCCTGATCAGAGCCTTACCTTAACGTAGCCTGCCTTGCATGAGATTCAGTGAGACAAGACATGAGTCCACTGGGACCCTGTCTGTGTGTGGCAGGACTACACAAGAGCCCAGCATCTCCACTAATCTCATCACCTAAGAAAAAAAAATGCTCAAGCTCAGTTTTAGAAGCTACATCTCCCATAAGGCTTTAGAATGATGCTTTACAATATGCCTATAAAAGGAAAACCTGAGATATAGTCCACTCATTCAGAAATACAAATGCCAGTCTCTAGGATTAAAGAGGTGGGGGTAAGACATGAAAAGTGCTGGGCACAGTGGCTCACACCTAATAATCCCAGCACACTGGGAGGCCCAGGCAGGAGGATCACTTGAGCCCAGGAGTTTGAATCCAGCCTGGGCAATATGGAAAAAGCTCATCTCTATAAAAAATACAAAAATTGCCCAAGCGTGGTGGCATGTGCCTATAGTCCCAACTACTCAGGAGGTTGAGGTAGGAGGATTGCTTGAGACTGGGAGGTTGAGGCTACAGTAAGCTGTAATCATGCCACTGTACTACAGCCTGGGTGGCAAAGCGAGAATGTGTCTCAGAAAAAAAAAAAGTGAGAAGCATAGTTCTTACCCTCACAAAAGCAGAGGTAACTTTAACTCTGTGGTTGGTAGAGAGGGGATGTACTCAGGGCTGGGGAGACCAGAGAGAGAGAGGTTCCAAGGAAGGGTGCACAGCCTTTGAGCAGGATGCAGAAGGATGAGTGTCCACAAGGTGGCTTCGGGCAGACAGTGTTTTCAGGTGAAGGGAACAGTTTGGGTAAAGGCAGACCAAAGGGCCCTGCTGTTTAAAGAAGTGCTAAAAAATTTACTGAAGCTGGAATTTAAAGCATAGGATTACAGTGGCCAGGAATAAAAGGAATGAGTCAGCTTGAGGCCAAATTGTAACTGGCCTTATATTCCTGCCAGAGGAATTTGGAATGAGTCTTGTGGGCAACATCTGGGAATTGAGAGGTTTTCAAGCGAGAGAGAGAGAGAAATTCCGATTTTGTTCCCAGGAGAAAAGTGTTCTGGCAGTAGCACGGTGGATGGAAGAACCTGAGAAAGGCTGGCAGTAGGGATACCGGAGAAGAGGCTCCTGCAGAGCAGATAACTATTTGGAGGTAGAGGTGGGAGGCTGAATTATATTTATACATCCGTTGTACTACTTCCTTCTAATTTGATCAGCAGTAGATACAGAAGTACAGAAAGACTTTCCAGGAGTTCCAGTGAGAATAATCTGACTCTCCAGGCCAACAGTGACAATCTTCAAACAGCCTGATTTATGACTGACATTCATCATATGCCACTGTTCCTGTTACATCCCACACCCATAATGAAATCTCCCAGAATGGGGCTGGATGTCCATCTTGCCATCATCATCCTCTTCCCTCTCCTGCTGGCCTTGTCTGCATTCTGGACATCTGGGTGCTGATATCCTGTTTTGTTAGAGATGCAGCAGAAATCATTTCCAGTCTGTTTTTGTTTTTATGTGGAACAACTAAGCTAATTAATCTTAGAGAATCACATATGTATACAAAAAGCTCAGGTCTGGGGCAACAATAAAAACTTAAGATTTCCAGTTTCTTCTGACTAGATTCCAGTTCTTATTCATAACAATAATTCAATAGCCCACTGGTGAGAGACTGCTATAACCCTGAGAGAACAGCTTTGAAATACCAAGAATAATGGCATTTAGATTTCTATAGCATCCAGGCCCTCCCAGCACCCCTTGTGGCAGGATCTCACAATGTTCTACAGAAGTACAATGCATTAAGGCTCTCCTCATAAAGTAGGCAGCATTATTATTCTCATTCCTCACGCTGCCAAAACAAAGTGGAGAGATGTGCTTCTGTTGCCTGCCCAAGGTTAATTCCAGGGGCAAAACTACAAATTCAACTCAGTTATTTGCCCTCAACTATGATCAAGCAGCTTTGTATTTTCAAGAAAAGCTGATGTAACTTACCCAAAACCAGAGTAAATTACATTTCAGAAGGAGAATGAGCATGTGGGCCGCTGCCACCTCTCACACATTCCCACATCTTCTCCACTGAGCCCCAGTTGACTTTCCCAGGAAGGACGTGACACAATTGCTACCTAAGTAGATTAACATAACACATTACACATCAGCACTACAAATGCTAACCAAAAGTCAAACTCATAAATAAAGCATACCTACCCCTTAGAAAAACTCGTAAATAAAGCATACCTACAAGATAAGGAAGGAGAGGACTTCTGAAGAATGAACATCAGAGAGATAAAAAGAAACAATTGAAAATGAAGTTAAAAACATTGCGTGTCTGTAGTGTATGTGTGTATAAAAATATTTACACATAGTGTATATGTAAAACAATGAGATTCAAGATATAAACTACAATAGCTTAGGTATCAGTCAGCCCAGTGAAAATCTAACATGAGATTCAATAGTTCACCTCATGATACTAAATATAAAAAAGTTAATACCATAGAAGTGGACTTTCTATGAGGAGAAAAAAAGCGTGTCTATATATTTAAAGGTTATTTTAATTCTGTAATTATGATGAAATCTGTGCTTTAAATGTATGTCTAAAATAAAAGATGTTATGTTGAAAAATTATAGGGAGCTCAGATAATAAATTTTGGAGAGAAAAGCTAATTTCTTCAAATTAGGCAAACACACTTACACGTGGAAACTTAAGAAATGGTAAAATATATTTTAGAAACAACAGTCTGTACATAAAGTTTACCTACTAAGAGAGGTACAATATGATTTTACTGAACCATATATGCTATAGTTAAAAAAGTAAGATGGTTTATAATTTAAAGAGCTAAGCTGAAAAGTTTGGTTTGTTTGTTTTTTTATCCAGAGGATAAAATATTAAGATGAAAAAAGATATGTGACTTATACAGACGAATAGGAATTTGATGAAGTGTAACTAAAATTGTGATATATATTTTTGGTCCTTACAAAATGGTTTTACAGACTAATAGAATTTTAGTAAAGAGAAAATTTAACTTCTTAAGCATGTATATTTATAACATCTATAACAATAAAATTTTCATTTACAATGTATAGAATGGCCTTAGCAGTCAAAAGTTTGTCTAAATAATGTCTTGTAGAAAACATCCTAGAAAATAAATGGTTAAATTTGATTATTTTCTAGTCTATTGTATTTGAACTTAATTATTCTCATGATTTTATTTTCTAAGGTGGTGTTAGTGAATGTAACTTGCATAATAATTAGCATCTTACGTGGCATTTTGTCATGTTTACTCCATATTCATTGAATGGATGAATGAATGAATTGCACCCAAACAAAGTTGGAGCTCTTCATTTCTCATGTCTTAGCCTCACTCAGTTGACTAAGAACACAGACAGCCTGGGAGAACGCTGTTCAGTCACTCCTCCCAGACAACAGGCAAGACCATCTGCAAGTTGCCCAGCCTGACAATGTATTTGGTAAACCAGGGATTAATAACCATTTCTTCCCCTCCTTTCTCTGCCTCCCAATATCACTCAAAGAATCCAAGGACATAAAGCCTATGGCTTCCGTTGCTTTTTGCAGATCAATAGGAAAATTTGCCCTGTAGCCTCCAAAATTATACCAGTGGCCTAACTTGAAAATCTGTTTGAATGTTTACTATTCCTAAACTCCAGTTTGTCATAGGTTTTTGTCAAGGTCTCTGTTAGGTTGAGTTCCCCAAAAGTGGATCCTAAGACTAAGGTTGTTTATTTTGGTTTTTTGCTGTTGTTGTTTTTTTTGAGACAGTCTCACTCTGTCTCCTAGGCTGGAGTGCAGTGGCGTGATCTCGGCTCACTGCAACCTCCGCCTCCCAGGTTCAAGGGATTCTCCTGCCTCAGCCTCCCAAGTAGCTGGGATTACAGGTGCATGCCACCACACCCGGCTAATTTGTGTACTTTTAGTAGAGATGGGGTTTCACTATGTTGGCCAGGCTGGTCTCAAACTCCTGACCTCAAGTGATCTGCCCACTTCAGCCTCCCAAAGTGCTGGGATTACAAGCATGGGCCATGCACCTTGCCCTAAGACTAAGATTTGAGAGCCATTTGTTTGGGGGTGATCCCAAGAAACACCTAGTGAGAGAGGGATGGAGTGAAACAGGAAAGGGAAAGAAGCCATGTTGTTTGTTGGTAAGCAAATTACTGCTGGAGGCAACTGGAATTCAATCCTGCCAGGAGGCTCTGGGAGATGGTCAAGAACCAGCTACAGTGTGGTCCTACTCAAAAAGAGAGGAAGTTTGGATAACTGTCTACCAACTTATGTTTGTCATTTGTGAGGATGCCTCCTGGTGTGTTCATTCACGTGGCACTTTCAACCTGCTGTGCAAATGCCCAGGCTTCCTCCTGAGGCCAGAAAAACCCCTTAGGAGAGTCCCAAGTACTTGCAGCAAGAGTGTCCACCACAAGGTCTTATGTGGCATGGCAAATTGAATCTGTCTGGATACTTGGGAAACCCAAGGTCCCTCCTTCCTTTGTTCTGCTGGATACCTTGCCCTCACCTGTCCAGCTCCATTCTCCACCCCGGTGACTCTTCCAGTCCTAGGAGCACTCAGCTGATATGAGTTCCAGGGTACAGAAGCATGCTTTGTAGTTTCCCTCCACTCTTCCTACAGTTTTGTAAACACTCCTTTTATTAAACTCTCACATTAACCTTGAGGGAAATTTTCTTTATCCCTACTAAGGCAGGCACCAAATCTCTCTAAAGAAACCCCTCCTTTAAGCTTCAACCCCTTGGCCAATTTAGGCACCTCCCTTTTCCTCCCTCACTGTGAAAGAACAGCTAAAGGTCAGGAAACTTATTTCTGCCCCTCTAACATTAGTCATCTTTTTGTAAGTTCCTTATAAGCTTCTCATAAGAAGTAGGAGAGATGGTGATAAAGCTTAGTGATTCAGAGCCAGCATATCTTGAGGTACTTCCAGTCTGTGTGACTTGGAGAGAGTTACTCCTCAGCATTAAAAGTATGTAACAACACAGGCCAATTTTTTTGTTCTGAGGGTTCAATGAGAAAATGTATGTAAGGAATTTAACACAGAGCCTGGAACATAGTTAAGTGCCCATTCATTCATTCAGGAAATATGTATTAAGAATCTCCTAGGTACTGGCTGGGCATTCACACCTGTAATCCCAGCACTTTGGGAGGCCAAGGTGGGTGGATCACAAGGGTCAAGAGTTCAAGACCAGCCTGGCCAAGATGGTGAAACCCTGTCTCTACTAAAAATACAAAAATTAGCCATGCCTGGTGGCAGGTGCCTGTAATCTCAGCTACTTGGGAGGCTGAGGCAGAGAATTGCTTGGACCCAGGAGGCAGAGTTTGCAGTGAGCTGAGATCACACCACTGCACTCCAGCCTGGGCGACAGGGCAAGACTTCATCTCAAAAAAAAAAAAAAAAGTATCTCCTAGATTAAGCACTATAATAGGTACTGTGCTTACAGTAGTGAACAAAGGAAAGTCTCTGTTCTGGGACCCTAAAAATGAAATGATGGTGATAGCTGCTAGAATAAAGTATAAGGATATTCAAGGCAGGGATGCTGACTTACAGGGTATTCAACAAATGACGGAGTGAATTTGAGCAAAGACTTTAAGTAAATGAGGGAGGAAGCTGTCTGGATTACCTGGGAGAAAGCCACTTCCAGACAAAGGGAAGAGCAAGTGCAAAGGACGGGTTTGCCTATCAAGTTCCAAGAATAATAAAGAGGCCTATGTAACTACATCAGAATAAGCAAGGGAGATAATAAGGAGATGAAGCCAGAGAGGTCATAGGTACCTAGACCCTGTAGATCACTGTAGAAACTTCCAATTTTATCCTGAGCAAGTCAGGATGCCATCAGAGGGTTTTGAGCAGAGGAGTGGACATGACCAGACTCAAGTTTTGACAGGATCACTCTGGCTGCTCTGTTCAGAACAGATTGTAAGGGACAGGAGCAGGGAAACCAGCAGGGAGGCTTCTGCAATCATCCAGGTGGAGACAATAGTGGCCTGAGCTAGGGGCGTGGCTGTGGAGACAGTTTGAAGTAAGAAGGTTCTGAATCTATTTAGAAGGCGATAAGACTGTGTATTAGGGTTCCCTAGAGGGACAGAACTAATAGGAGATTATATATATATATATATATATATATATATATATATATATATATATATATATATATAAAATAGGATATATATATAATAGTATATATATATATATATCTTGGATCAATACTTTGCTTCGATACTTTGCATCCTTCAATCCAATCAAGTTGACACTCAGTATTAACCATCACAAGTCCACCCCTTGTCAACTTGAACCCATAGACATCTCTTGAGATCCTACATATATTTATATATATAAATAAATAAATATATATATTATATATTATATATGTAATTATATATAAATATAAATTATATATAAATACATATATAAATATATATAATATATAAATATATTTTATAAATATATATATTTTTTTATATATTTATATAATATATATTATATATAAATAAATATATTTATATATGTATATATATATATATTAGTTTATTAAGTCTTAATAAATCACAAGGTCCCACAATAGGCCATCTGCAGGCTTGAGGAGCAAGGAGAGCCAGTCCTAGTCCCAAAACTGAAGAACTTGGAGTCCAATGTTTGAGGACAGGAAGCATCCAGCACGGGAGAAAGACGTAGGCTGGGGGTGCTAGGCCAGTCTCACCTTTTCACTTTTTCTGCTTGCTTTACATTCATTGGCAGCTGATTGGATTGTGCCCACTAGATTAAGGGTGGATCTGCCTTCTCCAGCCCACTGACTCAAATGTTAATCTCCTTTTGCAACATCCTCACAGACACACCTAGGATCAATACTTTGCATCCTTCAATCCAATCAAGTTGACACTAAGTATTAACCATCACAAGTCTACCCCTTGTCAACTTGAACCCATACACATCTCCTGAGATCATACACAATCTCAAAGAAAGACAATAATGAGGTCATAACTGCACTAACATAATACAACCATCCTTCATACAACTGGAAATGCACCAACACCCAACCCAAATACTATTACATAAAGTTAACAATACTTAAATGCTGATAGGAAGTCAATAAATCTTATGTCACATGATAAAGGAAAAGGAAATGAAGATATTTTATTAGTACAAGTGTATAATGCACAAATATGTTATTAACTAAAGAAGAAAATACTCATGACAGTTACCATCCTTGTTTCTGCAGCTGGTCATGTGGTCGCAGCTGGTATTGATGACTACCTTCTTCTACTACCCATTCTGTATTCCCTTTGCCTTTAGAAAGCACCTCAGCAGGTAGCAGATTTTTTCCTGGTGGAGTGAACCAAATCTTCATTTCTGAGGAGTCTGGACCATTTGTAGTCCTGCCTGGCTTGGGCTGTTGTAGTTTCCCATTGACCTTAATCACAGGGCATGGTAATACTATGAGACAGCCTAATGCATCTTCTGTATTCCATACATACTTCTCCTTACCTTCATTATGAAGTAGTAGACTGATTTCATCTTGATAGTCTGGGTCAGTCACCTCAGCAAACACTGTAACTCTCCTCTTAGCCTGTTGACTTAAAGGTAGGAGGAGCCCAAGGTGGCTATCTTAACTTCCGGTTTAATTGAATTGTTGTTGTGCCTCCTGGTGGCAGTGTTCCTTCCTCTGGAACTAAGACCTCTAGGCCAGCAGAACGTAATGTCGTGGAACAGGAAGCAAAAATTTTGCTAGTGGATCACTAGGGGTGATGGTAAGTGGTGCCACTTCCACTTTCACCCCGTGATTCCCAGACCCATAAATCCTGGCTATGGGAGAAACAGTATCATATATTGGACTCTGATTCAGAGCATACACAGCCTTTGGGAGAACTTTGTCCCAGCCCTGCAAAGTATTGTCACCTAGTTGGCATTGTAATTGTGACTTCAAAAGGCCATTCCACCATTCTATTAATCCAGCTGCTTCAGAGTGATAGGGAACATGGAAGGACCAGTGAATTCCATGAGCATGAGCTCACTGCTTCACTTATTTAGCCATAAAGTGAGTGCCTTGGTCAGAGGCAATGCTGTGTGGAATACCATGATGGTAGATAAGGCACTCTGTGAGTCCATGGATGGTAGTCTTGCCAGAAGCACTGCAGGCAGGATAGGCAAACCCATATCCAGAGTAAGTGTCTATTCCAATAAGGACAAACCTCTGCCCTTTCCATGATAGAAGAGTTCCAATATAATCAACCTGCCACCAGGACACTGGCTGATCACCCTGAGGAATGGTGTCATATCGAGGGCTCAGTGTTGCTCTCTGCTGCTGGCAAATTGGGCACTCAGCAGTGGCCATAGCCAGGTCATCCTTGGTGAGTGGAAGTCCATGTTGCTGAGCCCATGCACAACCTCCATCCCTGCCACCATTGCCACTTTGTTCATGGGCCTGTTCGACAATGACAGGGGTGGCTGGGGAAAGAGGCTGAGTGGTGTCCATAGGACAGGTCATCCTATCCACTTGATTATTAAAATCCTTCTCTGCCAAGGTCACCTGTTGGTGAGCACTCACATGCAATACAAATATCTTCACAGTTTTTGACTACTCAGAGAGGTCCATCAACATACCTCTTCCCCAAATTTCTTTGTCACCAATTTTCCAATCATGCTTCTTCCAAGTTCATGACCATCCAGCCAAACCATTGGCTACAGCCCACGAATCAATATATAATTGCACATCTGGCCATTTCTCCTTCCATGCAAAGTGTACAACCAGATGCACTGCTTGAAGTTCTGCCCACTGGGAAGATTTCTCTTCACTGCTGTCCTTCAGGGATGTCCTAGAAAGGGGCTGTCATGCTGCAGCTGTACACTTTTGGGTGGTGCCTGCATATTGTGCAGAACCCTCAGTGAACCAGGCCCTAGTCTTCTCTTCCTCTGTCAACTGATCATAGGGAATTCCCCATATATGTATGTATACGTGTGTGTGTGTGTATATATATATATATATACACACACGTATAGAGTATATATGTATGTATAATACACATGTATGCATGCATATATGCGTGTATATATACACATGTATGCATGCATATATGCATGTATATATACACATGTGTACATGCATATATGTATGTATATACACACATACACGTATATATACGCATGTATTCATGTATATGTGTATATGCAAACATGTACACATATATATACGCATACATGTATACGTGTATGCATGCATGTATAGATGTGTACATGCATACATGTATACACGTGTGTACACGCATGTATGCATGTATATACACTTACATGTATGCATATGTATATTTGTACACATACATGTACACACATGCAGGCATGTATATGCACATGCATGTATACATGTGTGCACGCATGTGTGCATGCATATGTGCATGCATGTATACATATATACATGTATATATGTACGTGTTCATATGTATACATGTATATGTACATATGTATACATGTATACATGTGTGTATGCATGTGTACATACACATATGTATACGTGTAGATATGTATGTATATGCATGTATGTGTGCATGTATATATGTATGTGTGTATGTATGTGTGTATATACATGTATGCGTGTATATATGTATGTTTATATACATGTATGTGTGTATATGTGTGTATATACATGTATGTGTGTATATGTGTACGTGTTTACACATATGTGTGTGTGTACACGTATACACACATGTATATTTGCGTATACGTGTATACACACACGTGTATGTATGTATATATAAATGTGTATATATACATGTGTATACATATATAAATATATGTGTATATATACATATATGTGTATACGTATATACATATGTATATATGTGTATATATACATATATGTGTATATATGTGTGTATATATGTCTGTGTGTGTATATATATGTATATATGAGTTCATAAATCTCTAGGTCCCACAATAGGCTGTCTGCAAGCTTGAGGGGCAAGGAGAGCTAGTCCAAGTCTCAAAACTGAAGAACTTGGAGTCTGATGTTTCAGGGCAGGAAGCATCCAGCACATGAGAAAGATGTAGGCTGGGAGGCTAGGCCAGTCTCGCCTTTTCACGTTTTTCTGCCTGCTTTATTTTTGCTGGCAGCTGATTAGACTGTGCCTACCACATTAAGGGTGGGTCTGCCTTCCCCAGCCCACTGACTCAGATGTTAATCTCCTTTGGCAACACCCTCACAGACACACCTATACATTCTCCAATCCGGTCAAGTTGACACTCAGTTTTAACCATCACAGACTGTCTGTTAGACTCCTCTCCCACACATTGTATATCCAAACTAAGGATGAACTCAAGTGGTTTAGCCTAGGTGATGAGAAGGGTGGAGCTGCTGTAACTAGATGGAGATGGCTGAAGTAAGCAGGTCTGGGCAGGGGAAGGGGTTAGATTGAGAGTTTAGTTTTAGACAGATAGAAGATGCAGGGAAATGTCAAGTGAGCAGAAGGAATGCTTTAAGTTCAAATCTATAAGAATATATACTTGACATATGGTATTCAAAGCCTTGAGAATATAGGTAGTGCATTAATTCAAGCACCTCATGCCATGTAATAAACGCATGCCTTACAGGAAGTTTTCAGAATGGAATAATATTCTTCCAAAAATTGGTCCATTTCAGTGAAATAAAGAATCAAATCTGACAAGGAAACACAACAGAAAATGGAGTCACATAGAGCATTTGTGGCGGTTTGGCCAGAGCACTAATTTTAAATGGTGGTGGACTGAAGACTTTAATTACTTTGATGGACAGAACATTAGTTTTCAGATGACTGGAACTGAGCTATATACTTCTTGGAAACACCAAGGTTGTGTTAGGAAGGCAGCTTTGTTTAGGTTTGACTTTTGACAAAATTTCTTTACGGAAATATTCTGGAAGTTTAAGAATAATGTGTATAGATACTTCCTAACTACACTTAAGGAAAATAAACATAGTATGATTTATTCTAATGGTTCTACAAGAACATGAGCTATATCCTAAGTTCAGGAACTGACAAGTTTTTTTCTTTAAAGGTCAAATAGTAAATATAATAAGCTTTGATGGTCATACATCTCTGTTTGGACTACTCAACCCTGCCATTGTAGTACAAACAGCCATAGGCAACACATAAATAAATAGGTATGGTTGTACTCCAATACAATTTTATTTACAAAGATAGGAAACAGATGAGATTTGGCCCACTGGCTATAGTTTTCCTCTGTCCCACCTCCACACCCAATAGCTTTCCCCCTTCTTTGCAAAGGCTTAGAAAAACAGCTGTTTCAGTTTGGTGTACCTTACTATTCATGAATACCTTTTAAAATGTTAGTTTTTGCTGAGCCATCATTAGGTGTTCAAGCAATTTAGAAACGGATTAAATCAGCTAAAAGTTACTACAATAATTTGGGCAAGAAGTGATAACATTTTTGAACAGGATACAACAATGAGGTAGTGGGATATGGTCATGTTGTGAATATGTTTGATTTTAGAAGCAACAAGGTTTGCAGGAGAGGAAGAATGGTGTTGAAGATGGTGCCAAGGATGCTGGTTCTCCCAACAAATTGTAGCTATGAGTATGATGTTTAATTATATTTATACATCTTACTTTCTTAACCTGGCTTCTGTAAGCATGCAATAAAAATGTTTTGCCCATCATCAGATCCTCATATCACTGCTTCATGTATAAAATACTCTTCATCTTACTGAGTAATGTATACCAAGAAAATTGTATTTTAGGCATTTTGTCATTTATTTTTGAGGGTGTACTTCATAAGCAATATCACAATAGCAGCATAATTATTTTCCCAATGTCAGCCCCAGTTCTGGTTTTCTTTATTTTTCCTTTTGAGCCTTATTGGCTGATAAGAGGTCTTAGAGTAATAACACTAATGAGAATCTTTGTCACAGTGTGAGTTCCCTAGTGCATGACCTCTTCCTTTGAGCTCATCAATAGTCCACAGCACTAGTACACCCACTTGACAAAGTGACTCATCATCATTTGCATTTTGCTTTGACAGATTGGTCATTAATATAAAGCCACCCCTGCATGACTTTCTGAAGGACATATGAAGATGTTCATGGGCTGTTAAGCTGTGAATTTCTCAGAGAATTTAAATTATTCTAAGTTAAACTTCTAGGTCTTGCAGTGTGATCTTTGGTTGTCTTAGCACATTTTCTCTCTATAACAGAGTACCACAGACTGGGTAACTTATACAGAAAAGGTCTGGAGGCTGGGAAGTCCAAGGCTGAGGGGCTGCATCTGGTGAGGGTCTTCTTTCTGCATCATAACATGGCAGAAGGCATCACATAATGAGAAGCACTTGCACAAGAGAGAAACTGGGCAGAATTCCTTTTTATCAGGAACTTACTTCCTATGGTAACTAATCCATGCCTGTAATAATAGCATTAATCACAGGGGTGATAATGGATTACCTTTAATCCCCTCTTAAAGGTTTTACCTTTTATACTATCATATGGCAATGAAATGTCAACATGAGTTTTGGAAGGGACATTCAACCATAGCATTGGTTAACTGCAAAAACAATTGGGAAAACGACCCCTATAAAACAACTCAATTTCAATCTACTTGAGAAAGGACTCAAATAGGTAAGGAATTATTAACTGTGGTGCAACTTGCATTTAGGCAGCCTTAAGGTTTTGAGAAATTTTGGAAAATACAAATCAGCAGAAGACATTTATTTATTTATTCAGTAAGTATTTATTGAGCCCTATTAAGTTCTAGGACTGTTCTAGATGCTGTGTATATGGAAATAAACTAGATAAACAAGGTACTTGTTCTTATGGAGTTTATTTCCCAGAATATATACTTAGATGAGGATAAGACAGGTAATAAAAATGTAATCTAACAAGTGAGTAATTTGAGATAGTGATGAGTTATGAAGAACATATAATGGAGCATTGGGATAGAAAGTACACTGAGAATGAGGCTGCTTTACATAAGTTGTTCTTAAGAGATGATGCTTGAGCTGAGCCATGAATAATGACAGTTGCAAGAAAATTTAGTAGAAGACCATGTCAGACAAAGGAAAGGCAAGTTTAAAGGCCGAACAATGGAAATGAGCTTGGGTTTATATGGGGACATGGCATCCTTTCAACCCGTTAGATATTTGCTGATTCACAATGACCAGTCAAAAAACTGAAAAGCTAATTGGAGTTTTTAGCCTTCTGAAATAAATATTGAGATTTAAAAAATTGGAGTTCAAAACTAGGATGACTGTCCAGTTTTCATGGGACTGAGGGGTTTCTCAGGATTTGGGGCTTTTAGTACTACAATTGGGAAAGTCTTAGATAAACTGGAAGAATTTTGTCAATCTTTCAAGGCCTAGCAAGATGAGTCCTCCTTAATACCCTGAGCTTTCATTTTGGACCCCTCAAAAGCTATATATGGTCTTTGTTGTCACGAAGGCTGAAACCTAGTCTTAAATAACATCCATCCCTATTCGGATTGCGGTAGTCTGCTTCTAGCTTAAACTGCAGCACACCTTACAGCAGATTCATGGAGTTGGGGAACATAAAAATTGGAGTCCTGGGATTTCCAAGGAATACTAGCCTTGATAAAAACCCAAGGCTTCTGGCTGGGACTTGTAGAGATAAGCCCATCAAAAAAAATCAAACAACATAAATAAATTCACAGGCAATCCAGACACTGGAGTTAACAAACTGGGGCTTAAAAATACCTGTGAAAGTTACGTTTTTTAAAAAATCGAGAATTAGATTCAGAATCCTAACAGAGAACTAGAAGCTACACGAAAGAATCAAATGGATATTCTAGAACTAAAAAAATACAGTAAGAGAAATTAAAATCCCAATATATTTAACAGTGGATTAGTCACAGCAATCAAGAGAGCATTAGTGAACTAAAATATAGCTCAGTAGAAAATTGTCATGAACTCTGAGTGTTCTGAGATTTTAGCCTACTTGCAAGCTAAGTTAGGCTGTCGCAATTTCACAGATGCTGAAAGAAAGCATCAGACTGCTCTGTCAGAGACAAAGATACTACTCAAGGCTTTAGTTCCCCTGTAACCCACTCCCCATCCCCAGTCCCATGGGAGTGATACAGAGGTGAGTCTAAGTAGAGTCTGTTGACATAATAGATCTGTGTCACTGCTGAGGAGTCTCAGGCTTAGGAAATCCCTAATCTTATGCGGGACTTCTAGCAAACCTGACCAATCTTTGTCTCAGAGGAGGACATTATCTTTATGATGCTGATGAAACAAAGTTACCCTCCACCCTAGAATGAAACACTACTTCTATCTTGGTTTGCTATACAAACATCCTTGAAAAGATCTACAAAATATATAGAAATGTCATGGAGAATTGTCCCTCAATAAAAATATATAAACTAAAAAACAGAAAGTAAAAAGACAGTCTCTAGAAATGAAAGAGAAGAAGCAATATTTGAAGAGACAATGGCAGGAAATCTTCTAAAACTGAAGACATCAAATTTCAGATTTCAGAAGTATCACACATCTCCTACAGAACTAGAAAAAATACCCTATGTATATAATAAACTATTGAAAACTAAAGACAAAGAGAACAACATAAAAGCAGTGTGAAACAAAAGATGTATTACCTACAAAGGAGCAATTTTAGGACTGACAGCTAACTTCTCAACAGAAACAATGGAAACCAAAAGACAAAAAAAATAACATTTAAAGTGGTACAGAAAACAACTGCAAACCTAGACTTTAAAAAAAAGTTGTGAGAAGATACACATAACATAAAATTTACCATTTTAACCATTTTAAGAGTAAAGTTAGGCAGTATTAAATATATGTACATTATTGTGCAACCAATCTCTACAACTTGTTTGTGTTGTAAAACAGAAACTCTACCCCTATTTGTTTTAATTCAGGCTACAATAGCAAGATATCATAGACTGAGTGGCTTAAACCACAAACATGTATTTCTCAGAGTTCTGGAGGTTAAGAAGACCAAGATTAGAGTGCCAGCAGATTTGGTGTCTGGTGTGAGTCCTCTTGGTTTGCAAATAGCTGCCTTCTTGCTGTATCCTCACATGGTGGTGAGAGAGAGATCATCTTTCTTATGTCTCCTCTTATAAAGGGCACACTGGCACTACTCATGAGAGCTCTACCTTTGTGACCTAACTACCTCCCAAAGTTGGTCCCACTTCCAACTACCAGCACAATGGGAATTAGGGTGTTAACATGGATTTGGGGTGAACATAACATTCAGTACATATAATTAAACAACCCCTTTTCTTCTTTCTCCTCCCCCCAGTGACCTGGCAATCACCATTCTACTTTCTGTTTCTATGTATTTGACTGCCTTAGATATCTCATATAAGTGTAGTTATGTACTATTTGTCTTTTTGTGACTGGTATATTTCATTTAGCACAATGTCCTCAAAATTCATCTATGTTGCAACATGTGTCCATTTTCTTCTGTTTAAAGGTTGAACGATATTCTATTGTATACACATAAATAAAAATTTTAAACTATCTATTAATGTATACTTGAATTCAAACCTAGAATTTTATACATTGTAAAAATATCCTTCAAAAGGGAATGTTAAATAAAGAAATTACCAAACAAGAACTAAGAGAATTTGTCATCAGCTTACCCATACTAAAGAAAATACTAAAAGGAGTTATTCAGTTAGAAGGAAAATAATTCCAAATGAAAATTCAGGAAAGAATAAAGAGTAATGAAACGGGTAAATAAATATGTAGATAGAGCTAAATAAACAATAACTGCATAAAACAATAATAATGTATTGCTTAAAATACAGAGAGAATTAAGGGTTTAAAATATATAATTAAATGTTAACATATAACGCAGGAGAAAGATAAATGGAAATAAAGGTGCTTGCATTATCTTGAAATAGTAAACATAAGTACTAATTTATATTAGATTTTAATAAGTTAAGGATTCCTGTTATATATTCTAGGTTAAACAGTAAAAGAATAGTAAAATACTATATAATTAACAAGCAAATGTAAGAGCGAAACAAAATTTTTTAAAGAAATCCAGAAAGGAGAGAAAAGGAACACCATAGAACAGATGAAACAAATAGAAAACAAAACATAAGTGGTAGATTTAAAACCAAATATATCAGTGATTACATTAGATGTAAATGGAACCAATGTGCAAATAAAGACAAAGATTACCAGATTGTATACAAAAGCAAAGCCTAAGCTATATGCTGCTTAGAGGAGATGACTTTAAGTATAATGATATAGAAAGTTTAAAAATAAAATTGCAGAAAAATATATCCCACAGAAACAACCAAAATTGTATAAAAGCTAATTATACATATTAAAATACATATAATAAAATAATTAAAATACATATTAATATAATAGTTAAAATACAATACAAAACAAACATGTAGCTGTATAAATATCTGACAAAGTAGACTTTAAGAAGACAAGAAAGGGCTAAGAGCCAAGATGGCTGACTAGACACAGCCAAGAAAAGCTTCTCCCACCAAGAGAGCCTATTTTGGTCTCCCAACAAGACCATCAAGTAAACTGGCACCCTCTTTAGAAAGAGGGCATTGAGAGTGAACAGAAAGAGGACACAGACCGCAGAGTAAAAGGGGAGGGAGGATTAGCGGGGCATGCCTGTAATCCATCTATTCAGGAG